>NC_000020.11:5369365-5520880 GCF_000001405.40 Homo sapiens
CTAGTAACTGATAAAGTTAATAATTCAAATCAATGGAAAAATGATGGGCCATTTAACCAATGGTATTAGATAATTTACCATTCCTGTGAGGGAAAGAAAGTCAGTTTCTACCATATCTCATGCACAAAATTAAATTAAGGAATAATTAGAGATCTAGATGATTTCTAATAGTACCAGATGAAAATACAGGAGAATAATTTTATAATCTTTGTCTGAGGGAGGACCTCCTAAATAAGACTGAAATCCTAAAGCCATAAAGGAAATTGTTAACATAAATGACTTTATAAAAATGAAGGACTTCTGCATAGGGAAAGACATGGAAAACAAAATTAAGATACTGGAGTGAGACTTGAAAGTTATAGCATTGTATAACCTCCATCACCTCCACCCCATTCTCACTCTCACTCAGCTCATGACCTTGTTTCCTACTGCAATGAGAAAATGAAAGCAGTCAGAGATAATCCAAAGATTTCCACAAGCAGTGCCCCCACCCTCCCACCACCCTCGTAATCTCACTTCCCTCCTGTCACTGCAGATAAGCTGGCCAGCTCCTCCAAATTCTTCACTTGTAAGCTAGACCTCATCTTTTTTTTTCCTTTGTTTGGGGCTCAAAAAAACGACACCCCAAAGTATGGTGCCTGGGCATGCTGAGTACTTTGAACTAAAGGACATTGGAAGACATCAGAAGCAGCCTCAGAACCAGAGTCTCTCTGACCTTCTCTTGCCCTCCTGCCTCCTGCCCCTCATTCTTCCTGGAAGCAAGCCATAGAAATCAGAATTCTTTTTCCTCAAGGCATATCATAAAAACTAGAACGCATTTTCCCCAAAGTCAGCCACAGCAACTAGAATTATCACTCTAACTGTCCCCCACCTTTCTGTGTAAGAGCTGGCCATAAAGAAATTCTCTGACCTACCCTTGTCTGATAGTAGGTCATAAGACCCTCATTCGAGGTGGGGTCCTGCCCCATACCCTGGAAGAAGAAATGCTGCAAGGAGCGCCAAGAAGAATCTGAATAGACAGGCTTTGCTGGTTTTCCCCACATCAATCTACCATTAGATCATACCTTTTTTGTCCAATCATAAAAATGGAGTTTTTCCTTGAGTCTTTGGGTCTTCATTCTGAAGGCCCCCGTATCATGTAACATTTTGATTTAAAAAGTCTGTTTTTCTTTCTTCTTGTTAACCTGTCTTTTGTTATAAAAGTGTCAGCTGTGATCTTTATAATGGGGAGAAAAGATATTGCACCCCTTCTACTCCTACACCTCCCTCGGTGACATGGCTACATTTGCCATCTCCAGGTAGAACTCTCTCTTGAGTCTGATACACCCAGCTGCCCTGCTGGGCCTCTCTGCTTGGATGTTTTATGGGCATCTCAAGGTCAGTATGTCCAAAACTGAACTCTTGATCTTCCCCCCAAAACTTACTTTATCCATAAACTTTTCCTTCTCAGTTGATGGCAATTTCAACCTTCCACTTCCTCAGATTCCTGAAAACTGGAGTCTACTGTCTTCCTTTCACATTCCACTTCCTATTGTAAGAGCACCCTTTTGGGCCCCCATTTAAAGTCTCTATCCAGGGCCAGGGGTAGTGGCTCACACCTATAATCTCAGCACTTTGGGAGGCTGAGGCTGTAGGATCACTTGAGGCCAGGTGTCTGAGAGCAGCCTGAGCAACATAGCGAGACCCTCATCTCTACAAAAAATAAAAAATTAGCTAGGTGTGGTGGTGCATGCCTGTAGTCCCAGCTACTTGGGAAGCTGAGGCGGGAGGATTGCTTGAACCCAGGAGGTTGAGGCTACAGTGAGCCATGATTGTGCCACTGCACTCTAGCCTGGGTGACAGAGTAAGACCTTATCTTAAAAATACACACACACACACACACACACACACACACAATCTATCCAGAATTTGTTCACTTGCCCTCACCTCCACAGCTAGCTCCCTGGTCTGAACCACGACCACCTCTCACTTGAATTTTGATATTAGCTTCAGAGCTTGTCTCCTTGTTTCTATCCTGTGCTTTTAACACAGCATCCAAAGTGATCCTGCAAAACATAAATGTAGTTTTTTCAAAGTCTTTCAAACTCTCTCCTGGTCACTCAGAGTAAAAGCCAAAGTCCTTACAGTGGGCTCTGACCTCCCTGACCGCTCAGCCCTGCTGGCTCTGCTCCTGGCTGCACTGAGCCCCTGCTGCTTGTTGTTCATGCTGGGCACACTGCACCTGAGCGTTTGTACTGGTGGCTCGTGCTCTTGAACACCTTTACCTCAGGTGGCCCTGGATTAACTTCCTCACCTCCCTCAAATCTTTGCTCAAATGTCACTTTTTAAATAAGGCCTGTCCTGATCATCCCATTTAAAATTGCAATCCCACTCCCTAAATGGCACACCTGATCCTCCCTAATCTATTTTAAAAACATTTATGACCTTCCGAAATACCGTATCATTCAAACCACCAGGAAGCTGACATGATCTCAACTTTCCCAGGGTGGTAATTGTTCAACCCCATGGCTTTCCAAGACAAGTGCCTTTCCCTCAACATAGAGCCAGACTTTTGTCTCAACATTCTGAGTCTTTTATCAGTTGAGTGAAACTTGCAGAGGAAAAATACAAAATGAATGACTGGACACATTGATGATGAGCTGTGGTCCCTGCTATTGCTGTGGGGGGAGGTGGAATATGTGTGCATTGGGGTTGAGGGTGCCTTGGTTCAAATTCCGGGCTCACTCTTTGTTAAGTATATGAAATTTTGCAAATTGCTTCAGATAATGAGAGCCTGGGATCCTGTAGTACAGAAGTGAGGAAATGAGGTGGAGAATTAGCTGTTGAGAGCAGCTGGGTCTGAGGTTATTCACAGGTTATTCATCCACTCTTTGGACAAAAGTTACCAAGAACCAATCATATTGGAGAGATTCACCACATGGTTGAGAGTCATAAGTGCCTGGAAGGAAATGCAACTTAGGTCCTAAGGACAGTGTGAAATGGAGACAAGGAGACACCAGCCTTCAAAGCTTCTGCTCGCCTTGCAGGATGGTAAATGGATGGAACCCTGTACTTTGAGCCCTAAAGAGAGACTTGTGGAGTTGAGCCCTCAAGGGAGATTTTGGGAGAGCAGGCAGGCCCCTGTCGAGGCCCGCAGAACCCTGGCCACCCCTGCAGGGAGAGCATGTCATGTGGGGATTCAGGTGTCAGGTCAGCATGTAGCCTGTTCTTACCGCAGCCAGCCTCTACCTGGGTCACCCCTGTCCAGGGATGCTCTACTGTTGAGAGAAAGTGGTCTTCACCAGCCAGCTTTGTCTGGGGTAAAAACAAGCAAAGCCAGGCAGGGATTCTGAGAAGGCAGGAGGTTCTGATTAGCACAATTATCCAAAAGTTTAAGGAACAAATATCCACTCGGAACTCATTATTTTATTGTACTGGGTGGCAATTTCCACAGATTTCAAACTCAAATGCAGGCTTGTTGGATTTAACTCTCACTGTCAATAAAAGCCATGAAAGGCATATGCAATCAGCCCTTAATATTTAAAATGTTTCCCCATTAAAAAAATTGAGATACTTTATATATAGTAGAATTTACCTTTTTCATGTGGAGCTATCTGAGGGCAACCATCACCACAGTCAATATATAGAATAATTCCAGAACCCCCTTGAAATTCCCTAGTGCTGCTCCTCTGTAGGCAGGGCCAGCTCCATAATTTTTGAGGTCTTGTGTAAAATGCAGGAAAAAAAAAAAGGCCATTAAAGTTACTAAAGTACAACGCTTTTTTATTTCATCTTGAGTCTTTTTTTTTTTTTTTTGACTTGGGCTGGGGTTTTTAAAATTTGCTATTTAATGTTCTAAGTGAAGAAAAATTAAAATTTTACACTAGCATAAACTTTATGTAATGTCAGCTTTATGTGCAAATATAAGAACATTCAACTGGTATGTGAAACCATGGAAACAATTTATATTTTGTAGCTTGTACATGCACCCGTGTTTCATTCTTACTAGAATGATGGAAAGCAGCACATAACTAACTCAATTGTTTTTATTTCACTTCTTGATGAACACACTTTCTACCAACCACCTATGGAGCCAGACGGTTGCAGAACATGCTTTGCTTTGAGTCTCTGTGTGATTCTATGTCCTGTATCCAGCATCTTCCTGTTGTTCCCCCTGGGGGCCGCTCCTGACTAATTCCTTATCAGCTTTCTGGTGATCTAGCGCATCTTTGACTCCCCTTCCATCTTGCCGACTGGCTCCCTGTCCTGCTTGTATTTCGGTGGACGCCATTCTCATTCTCTTATTCTCATTGTGTTGGCAGCTTCACTTTGGCCAAGCCAACGCTGTATTCTCTGGTTCCTGGGTTGAACCTGATTTCTCCACAGAACGATCTGCAAACAACGAGCAAGCTGATGACCAAAGGAGGCCTCCTTCACTGTAGGGATCCCTTCTCATTTCTCACAGGGATCCCTTCTGGCAGCAGTGTGAGGGGACAGGTGTTTCTCATTCCTCCTCCCTGCAGAGCTCCTCCCCAGAATACCATGCTCAGAGGGTGAGAGTGAAGCAGAGTGAGAGCCTGGAGTCCAGAATCTGAATGGGTTCCGATTCCAGGGTACCATTTTCAGCTATGTGACCGTAAACAAGCTCCATGCCTCAGTTTTCCCATCAGTAGAAGGGGAAAAATAATAGCATCAAGTGGAACTTGTTTTAATTCTTTTGAAAGATAGCATACATAAGTACATGTAAGTGTAGAGTAGACAAATTTTCACAAACGGAACACATCCATGCATCAGACCAAGAAACAGTCCCACCTCCCACCCCCATAGATCAGGGTTGCTTTGAGGATAAATGAGCTAACATTTATAAAATCCTTAAAACAGTGCCTGGCATACAGCAATCATTTTATCACAATCTGTTTTTTAAAAAACAAGTTAATTAGGAGGGAACTGTTGGCTTCATGAAGCTCAGCCGCTTACTTCATTTTAGTGAAAGCTTGGCTGTCGCACAAGTTTAGGGCCCCCTCTCTTCATATGGTGCAGCCGGCAGGATGAGTTAAGAGTCTTCAAAAATAATCAATTATTTTCTTATCCCAAAGGACCAGGTGGTGCATTATACAGCAAATGGTTCCCGTGGAATGCAACAATTTTGCTTAGATGGGAAAAGCAATATGCAATCAGGCTGCTGTCACCACTTAATAAAGGGCCAGATGCTGTCGTGCATGGCAGCCAGGGTGGCCCATGGGGAGCCAGCACAGCCTGGACCCTGGTTAACAGGGCCAGAAATCAGAGGTCTAGGGGCAGGGGGAAGGGGACTTCTGGATGTGGCTTTGTTCATTGCCTGATTATCCCATGAGATGCACAAGGAAAACTGGCCCGAGAAAAGTTTCTATAGAAATGGCCAGAATGAACTGAAGCAGGGTTGGAAGAATTAGTGCATTCACAACTAATTTCACACAATCCTCTAAAACTTATGAACAGAGGAAATGGTTATACTATTTATGGTGCCTTACTGCACTTTTATTTTAACTCAGAATACATCTGTGCCCCTTCTCTTGCCTTTTATGACACAAAGACCAAAGGGGGAAAAAAAACAAAAGAAATAAGGAAAAAAAGACAATAACACCAGATCACAAAATTAAATCAAAGAATTTAGAAGGAGAAAAATAATGGTTGCCAGTATATTTTCTGGAACACATTAAATTATGGAAAAATAATAAGTATTCTGTTCCACTATCGCTTGGAGTTGTCTCCACTATAGGGATGGAAAACTAAAGACAAGTGAGAAGATAGAAGAGGGGGAAGACATTTCCTGAGGGAGTGGACTAAGGACAGGAGGCAGCTTCTGAGGTTATTGGTGCATTACATTGTTCTAGAACGAATCCACACCCATATTTTGGAGGTAGAAGTCTTACATGGTTTTGGCATTAAGGAAAACATCCAAGCAACAATTTCAGAAAATTTGTAGCATTCTCTGCATTGCAAAGAGACTTTTAAAATTTTTAGAATGTTTCTCTAAACAAGGGCAGATGTGATTTTTTTAAAGTCATTAAATAATTACGCTTGCAGAGCTATAGGCCCACAGTCCATCAAGACAATTTTTCTGAGGCTTAGAGTTCTCTTTAGACACATCTCAGAGGCCAGAATTGCTTCCAGGGTGCAGAGTGTCACTACCACAGCTGGATAAGACCTGTGCTTGTGTCTATTGGCAGAACTCGGAGTAGAGGAAAGCACAAATGGGGAACCAGCTGGGAATGTCATGGCTGCTCCTGCAATTTCTTCTGTCCATCCACAAAAAAGGTGAACATGGTCCCCTTTACCTCACTTCAGGGTTTAAAAAATTATTTTTAATTATGATAGGTACATAAGAGTTGTACATATTTATGGGGATTATTTTTTAAATCAAGAAGAAATGTATGGTGCCCACGAGGAGCGTGTGTGTGTGTGTATGTGTGAGTGTTTATGGGAGAGAAGAAGATAGAGTGCTTCATTAAATCCCTGAGCATGTCTAAATTTTAATATCTTAGGCCTACAGGTTCAACAGAAAAAAATCCGTCAATAACGTTCAAAAATAATTCATGAAAATCAGGACAGTCCACATTATACTGTACATAAGGCATTCTAGTTTCAGACCTTGTGCAAATGAACAGTGGCTGCTGTGCAGGAGGGAAGTCTATGTCATATAGCTGGTGAAGCTGAAGTCCTTATTGGCTGAATTAAGACAATACCCAGATGGCTTCTGCTGTAGCTACATTCTAAGTTTCTAAGTTAGCAAAATTGTAAAACCACTAGGCTATTGAACTTGCAAAATTCCACAATAATATTATGAACTCTAAATGAGTCCACTAGTTTTTCCAGATTTCTGATATGATGTATTCAGTTTGGGTTAGAGTGCTTTTTCCTCTTAGGCATTAGGCCTCTAAAAGGTAAGTCAGTGAAAGTATCGTGCATAAGGATTTGTAAGGATATGAGGACAGTGGGTGGATTCAACACAAATGGTGATTTGGCCAACATGGGTTTCAAAGTCTGACTAAATTCATATAATCAGTCTGTGTTCTCTCCTAACAGAGTGAATATGGCATTTTGCTGATGAGGCACAATGACAAGCTCAAACACACCTGAGCCGTCTTCTAGGGAGAGCTGTTCAGCCACACACGGGGCCCCGCCAGTGGTAGATTAAAGAGGGCAGGAAACTCTTCGACACTCCTCCTATTGAGAGGTGGCTGCTAATTCCCCTCCCCTTGATTTTATGCTGGACTTAATGTCAAAAAGAATGCAGCGAAGTTAGGGTTAGGACTCCTGAAATGAGGTAAGAGGAAAGCTTTCAGCTTCTGCCCAGGCTTCTCGACATATTCACTCTTAAACCCAGTTGTCCATATTGTGAGGAAGTTCAAGAAGACCTGTGGAGAAACTCATGTGGAAAGGAACTAAAGCCCCAGATGCCAACTCTGGCTTTTCTCCTAGCTGACAGCACCAAGTTGCCAGCCATAAGAGTGACCCATCCTTGAAAGTGGATACTCAACCCCAGTTGCTTCAGTTGACACCACATTGAGCAGAGATGAACTGTACCCTCCAAGCCCTGTCAAAATGGCAGATTTATGAGCAAAATGACTTTTGTTGTTTTAACTACTGAGATGTTTTGTTGCTGGTTTTGTTTTTGTTGTTGTTTTACATAGCAGTAGATGACTAGAACAGCATCCAAGTTCTGGTCCACAATATATTGGAACTTAATTGCCATGTTTTGTGTTTGGGGGCAAGTGAGTACCTGTGATTTAGCCTTTATCTCCGTGGGACTCATCTGCTTCTTAGTTCTGCTCCACAGAAAGCAGGTTCACCTTGTTAAGCAGCTAGGACATGTTGAAAGAGTGGGTTCACCATTATCTCCATCTTTTGTATCAGGCGGTAGATGTTGGCATTGCTGTCCATAGTGGCCAAGCTCCTACCATGGTGCTGCTTCTGTGGCACACTCAGGTTTCCTGGAGAGTACTCAGGTATTGAGCAGATCCTTTCTGGAGTGGGAGGGGATTTCTTCTCTGAAAAGGCCATTGCTGAAGGGCTCTACCTCTGCTCTTGCCAGCTTGCCTCCATTTTCTTGGCAGGGTGAGCTACTCATCCAAATCTTCATGCCTGCCAGCAGCCCTTCAGAATCAGATATCTGTTTCCACACTGAATAAAGGGGCTGGGCAGACCCTCATTGTTGTATGCTTTTGTTTGTTGGAGTCCTGGAGGAAACTGAATACATAGTCTAGAAGGTGCATCTTGGAAGCTTTGGACATCACTGAATTTTTCAGGGCAATATCTGTACCCTATATGTCTACCTTCCCAAGATTCTCTTTTAGGATTGCATCATCATCAATGAATTTAGTTGTGACTTATTCTTTCCCATCTGGACTTGAGTTCTATACTCTGCAGAGTGGAACCTTATAAATATGGGCCATGTGTGCATGCAAACGTAGCTTTGGGAGTGGAATCCTCCCATGCAGGGCTCTGATTGGGGTGGCCTGGGGAGTTGCTGGGGGTGGAAGGTGCTACATTTATGTCCCCCCCCCCACCCATTTTCTGGTGTCATCCACCGTACTTTTACATAATGTGATGGGACTCCAGCAGAACGTCACAGGAACTCCTGATACAGTGAGACCAAAACTACTCTGCCTCTCCCTCAGTGGAGGAGGCTAACACAATATATATATTTTATAGGGACAGGGTCTCAACGTGTTGCCTAGGCTGATCTCAGACTCATGGGCTCAGCAATCCTTCCACCTGGACCTCCCAAAGTGCTGGGATTACAGGCATGAGCCACGACACCTGGCAGCCAATATATTTAAAATTAAAAACACATACACCTTCATCCTAGAGATTCCACTTCTAGAATATTTTTTACTTGTTATTTACCACATTTTTAGTAGAAAAATATCTGAAACATCATGAATACATATTAACAACCCATTGATTTAATATATGGTCATTCTTTCCAGGCAGTGTCAAGTTGCCTTTAAACATATGTAGTAGAACTAGATCAGTTGATATGACAAATCTAAATGCTTAGAAGGTGCCTGAAACATATTATGTGTACAATAACTAATGGCTTTAGTTGTCATAAGAAAGAAAAATAAAAACACAGGTATATGGCTATATATTACATATATATCTACATGTATGTCTATATAAATGAATATATATCATTTATAGCTGTAAAACAACATAAAAATCCTTTTTATATGTGAATACATACATATGTATGATTAGGTGAACACAGAGAACATTGTGGATGGATACCATACCAGCTTGTGAATGATGAGATACCTGGAAGGGTGAAAAAGAGGGAACTGGAGGTAGGGGGAGAAAGACAAAACAGATAAAAGTGTCCAAAATAAAACATCTTTGAAAGTTTATATATGTAAATATACAGAGAAAGAAAGAGAAATGAAAAGCTGGTTATCAAACTATAAATGGTAATGAGGGTCTCAGAGTTTTTTCCTAAATTCTTTCTTTTTCTTTTCTCTACTTTTTGAATTTTCAGAAACACTGAACGTGTGTTATTCATATAGCTGGAAAATAAACGCTATTTTCGATTTTGAAAAAACAATATGAATAGTAAAGCTATCTCTCTGATCCTTTAACGATTAAGAAAGGCTGATGATGATGATGATGGTGATAGTAATGAGTGGCTAACATTATTTGCACACTTACCGTGTGTCTGACACTGTTGGGGTTTTAGAAGTAATAAGCATCTTTATTCTTTTAAGTATTTACAAATGCTTCCAATCCTAAAGCTGAAAAAACCCTCAGCTCTCTGACCCCAAATGCTCATTTCACATATGAAGGATTTGAATGAGGAGAAATGCAAGGACTTCCTTACTGATGTCTCCATTTGGAAGAGCTGAGTCTCCTGACTCACAGTTAGATGCTCATTCCACCACCTGTAAAGAACAATCCCTCTCTATCAGCACATTTGAAAACCACAATTCCAATCCAGGGACTTGGGAGTGTGTTACCATAGTCATTATTTTTATGAACTTATTTCTTTCTAATGCCCTATCAAAAAGAGAAAATGCTAAATTCTTAGAAACAACTGACTTGAAAGAGGAGAGTGAAGCTTTCTGAAATGATAGAAATGTTCTAAGTTGTGGCTGGGCACGGTGGCTCATGCCTGTAATCCCAGCACTTTGGGAGGCTGAGGTGGCCGGATCACTTGAGGTCAGGAGTTCAAGACCAGTCTGGCCAACATGGTGAAACCCCATCTCTACTAAAAATACAAAAATTAGCCAGGCGTGGTCGTGGGCACCTGTAATCCCAGCTACTAGGGAGGCTGAGGCATGAGAATCGCTTGAACCTGGGAGGCAGAGATTGCAGAGAGCGGAGATTGTGCCACTGCACTCCAGCCTGTGCCACTGCACTCCAGCCTGGGTGGCAGAACGAGACCCTGTCTCCAAAAAAAAAAAAGAAAAGAAAAGAAAAGAAAAGGAAATGTTCTGTTCTAAATTCTGATTGGGGTGGAACTTGCACAGGCATAACTTAGAGGTATAAAGCCATCAAGATGTATGTTTAAGAATTGTAAGTATTGTATCCTTCATCATATATGAATTATGCTTCCATAAAACACAGTTAAAAAGAGACATACTAGTTGGGGACACTGTCATATACATAGTTTCAAAAGAAGGTGTGTTAGCCCCTTCTTGCATTGTTATAAAGAAATATATGAGGCTGGGTAATTTATAAAAAAAGAAGTTTAGTTCCAAGTCTTTGCTATTGTGAATAGTGCCGCAATAAACATACGTGTGCATGTGTCTTTATAGCAGCATGATTTATAGTCATTTGGGTATATACCCAGTAATGGGATGGCTGGGTCAAATGGTATTTCTAGTTCTAGATCCCTGAGGAATCGCCACACTGACTTCCACAATGGTTGAACTAGTTTACAGTCCCACCAACAGTGTAAAAGTGTTCCTATTTCTCCACATCCTCTCCAGCACCTGTTGTTTCCTGACTTTTTAATGATTGCCATTCTAACTGGTGTGAGATGATATCTCATAGTGGTTTTGATTTGCATTTCTCTGATGGCCAGTGATGATGAGCATTTCTTCATGTGTTTTTTGGCTGCATAAATGTCTTCTTTTGAGAAGTGTCTGTTCATGTCCTTCGCCCACTTTTTGATGGGGTTGTTTGTTTTTTTCTTGTAAATTTGTTTGAGTTCATTGTAGATTCTGGATATTAGCCCTTTGTCAGATGTGTAGGTTGTGAAAATTTTCTCCCATGTTGTAGGTTGCCTGTTCACTCTGATGGTAGTTTCTTTTGCTGTGCAGAAGCTCTTTAGTTTAATTAGATCCCATTTGTCAATTTTGGCTTTTGTTGCCATTGCTTTTGGTGTTTTGGACATGAAGTCCTTGCCCACGCCTATGTCCTGAATGGTAATGCCTAGGTTTTCTTCTAGGGTTTTTATGGTTTTAGGTCTAACGTTTAAATCTTTAATCCATCTTGAATTGATTTTTGTATAAGGTGTAAGGAAGGGATCCAGTTTCAGCTTTCTACATATGGCTAGCCAGTTTTCCCAGCACCATTTATTAAATAGGGAATCCTTTCCCCATTGCTTGTTTTTCTCAGGTTTGTCAAAGATCAGATAGTTGTAGATATGCGGCATTACCCAAATGTCCAACAATGATAGACTGGATTAAGAAAATGTGGCACATATACACCATGGAATACTATGCAGCCATAAAAAATGATGAGTTCATGTCCTTTGTAGGGACATGGATGAAATTGGAAACCATCATTCTCAGTAAACTATCGCAAGAACAAAAAACCAAACACCGCATATTCTCACTCATAGGTGGGAATTGAACAATGAGATCACATGGACACAGGAAGGGGAATATCACACTCTGGGGACTGTGGTGGGGTCGGGGGAGCGGGGAGGGATAGCATTGGGAGATATACCTAATGCTAGATGACACGTTAGTGGGTGCAGCGCACCAGTATGGCACATGTATACATATGTAACTAACCTGCACAATGTGCACATGTACCCTAAAACTTAAAGTATAATAAAAATAAATAAATAAATAAAAAAAATAAAAAAAATAAAAAAAAAGAAGTTTAATTGGCTCATGGTTCTGTAGGCTGTGCAAGCATGGCACCAGCATCTGCTCCTGGTGAGGGCCTCAGGAAGCTTCCAGTCATGGCAGAGCAAGCATGTCACTACAAGGGAGTGGGGGGTCCCAGACTCTTTCAAGCAACCAGATCTTGTGTGAACTGAGTGAGAGCTCACTCATCACCAAGGTGATGGTGCTAAGCCATTCATGAGGGATCCGCCCCCATGATCCAATCACCTCCCACCGCTAAGCCATTCATGAGGGATCCGCCCCCATGATCCAATCACCTCCCACCGCTAAGCCATTCATGAGGGATCCGCCCCCATGATGCAATCGCCTCCCACCAGGCCCCACCTCCAACACTGGGAATCACATTTCAACATGAGATTTGGAGGGGACAAACATCCAAACCATATCACAAAGTATGAGTGGAGTCATGGAGGTAGTATGCAGTGTCAGTCAGGAGAGGGTCCCATTTGTTACCACGAGCTTGTTACTGTGGGTACGTTGACATCATGTGCATTTTTTAGCCAAGCATCCTAATAATCTGAAATCGTTTTGCTTTATCTTGGGAGGTTGGTAGATGTACCTTCCTTTGCTTAAATCCTTCTGCCTTGAGAGAAGTGGCACTTTTCAGGTTAAACTACATAAACAAGAGCATTGGAATAGTGCCTTGGTAGCGGGAGGAAACAAAAGAAACTGAAAACATAGCTCTACTAAGACACACTTGGAACAAGTACAGAACCATTTAAGTCATATTGTGGGTAATCAGAGCCTTGAAAGTGTGGGCAGATTAATACATAGCAGTTTCTTTTTTATTTTTCATTTATTTATTTTTTCTCTACTACTGTGACAGATTAACATAGCAGTTTCTTTGGCTTTGGAGGTTCAACCTTCTGAACAGGTATCAGGGCATTAAGAATGCATCGCCTGGGAATCCTCTACTATTTTATAAAACTCCCTTTTCATGGCCAGCCAGCCCCTCACTGGCCCCTAAATTGGCTTTCCCCCATTTCAGCCCCATTTCCTGGGGCTGAACTTGTTTCAGAGCAGCCCCAGGATGTGACTTATTTTGAAAGCATAGATGTCCTTCTAATACCAGCTTGTTAGACTTTTCAATTTGGTTCCTGTATGTGGTGCTAATCCTCTGTTTACTTGGAATTAGGGTAATTTTCTCCACATGTCACCAATCTCCAACATGTTTTACTTGTCATTGCTGATCTTTACTAAGTGCAGTAAAATAACAAAAGTGGTCAGGTTGTGAAAAACAATATAATAGTGGGAAATCAGTCAGACTCTTTCCACTCAGCTGTGGGTTTTTCATGTGTACACATAGCTTTATTTTATTCCTTCCAAACCTTATTATAGCCACAAGAAAACAGACATTATAACTCAGCTCTCCATGGTGGCTGCTCTTTGCCCTGAATAATAGAGTGGGGAAGGCTTTTGAGCCATTCTCAGTTCAGGAGAAGAAAGAGGGAAGGCAATGGAACAATATCACAGGCTGGTCATTTAATGTGGCTTTATCAAAACAACTTCCAAGAACACCAGCTCCTGAGTGCACCTCAAGGAAGCCTGAAGACAGGCCCACCCAGCCCAACTTCAACCCCTCAGTGCCCAAGCATGGCCTCTGGGGGCCTGAGGATAATCCTACCTTACCCACCACCATTGCACCACCATTGGCTCCTGAGCACTCCTTCTGGGGGCCTGAGGACTGGCCCACACAACCTGGTGCTACCACCATAGCTGGTAACCACCCACATGCACTACCTGTGGGCTGGGGGAATGACAGCCTGCCCAGTCTGTCATAGCAACTATCAATACCACTGCAGGCTGCTTGGGAGCCAGAGAGTTGTTCTGCCACTGCTACTGCCATTGTCTGTTCCCCAGGGGCCAGAGGACCTGCCTACCTGCCCAGCCCACTGCTATCACCGCTGGCACCTGACAAAACCACCAGGAGACCCAAGAATCAACCTGCCTGGACATGCTAACACCAGTGCCAACATATGTTGCCTTGGGGCCCAAGGATACGCACACTTGGCTTGCCACTCCCACCACTAGGACCCAAGGATTGGCCTACCTGGTGTTCCTATTCCCAGTAAAACTTCACCACAGCCTTCAAACAACCATATCATAAGCCACTGAATAAATCACAGACACACTGATGCTATTTACAGACAAAAAAATTACAAGGAAACTGCATTACTGCATACACCGAGAATCAAAGCCACAGTGCTCTACACAACCAACACCAAAGGTACATCTTCAGGAAAACATCCTCCCATATGAAAGCAAACCCCCAAAACTGGAAGAAATGGCTATTACACCAGATGGGCAGATAGCAATATAAGGATACAAGAAACATAAAAGCAAGAAAATATGACACCTCCAAAGGAGCACAGTAATTCTCCGGCAACACATTCCAATAAAAAAGAAATTTATGAAATCCAAAAAAAAGAATTGAAAATAATATTAAAGAAGTTAAGTGAGATACAAGAGAACACAGACAAACAATACAAAGAAATCAGAAAAAAAACGGGATATGAATGAGAAACTTTCCAGAGACAGATGTCAAAAAAGGAACCAAACAGAAATCCTAGAACTGAAAATGTTATTGAATGAAATAAAAAAAATACATTTTAAAGTTCACTAATAAACTAGATCAAGCAGAAGAAATGATTTCAGAACTTGAAGGTGGGTCTTTTAAAATAACTTAGTCAAAATTAAAGAAAAATGAATAAAAAGCAATGGGCAAATCCTACATGACATAGGAAATGTAACAAAGTGACCAAAATATTTGCATTTTCAGTGTCCCACAAGGTGTAGAGAAAAAAAAAGAATTAGAAAATCTAATCATAAAATAATAGCAGAAAATGTCAAGAGATTTAGACATCAAAATACAGGAATCCCAGAGAGCCCCAAACAGACAAAGTTCAAAAAGATCTTTTCCATAGCACATTATATTCAAACTATCAAGTCAAAGACAGAGAATTCTAAAAATAGCAAAAAAAGCATCTAGTCCCTTGTAGGGGAACACTCAATCAAACTAATAGTGTATTTCTCAGCAGAAACCTCAGGCTGAGAGGCTAGGAGAGAATGGGGTGATATATTCAAAGCGCCGAAAGAAAAAAAAAGTTGTCAGCCAAGGATACTATACCCAGAAAAGTTATCCTTCATAAATGAAGGAGAAATAAAGACAAGCAAAAGCTGAAGGAATTCACTACCACTAGACTGGTCCTACAAGAAATGCTTAAGGGAGTCCTACACCTGGAAGCAAAAAGACAGTATCTGCCACCATGAAAACACATGAAAGTATAAAACCCATTGGCATAATGAACACACAAATAAGAAAAGAAAGAACTTAAATGTTACCACTACAGAAAACTGCCAAACCACAATGATAATGCAGAGAAAGAAATGAACAAAGGATGTACAAACAACCAGAAATTAATTAAGTGACAGGAATAAGCCCTCACATATCAATAATAACCAGGAATGTAAATGGGTTAAACTTTCAAATTAAAAGATATAGACTGGCTGAATGGATTTTTTAAATGACCCAACTATATATGCTGCTTACAAGAAACTCATCTGTAAAGACACATATAGACTAAAAATGAAGGAATGATAAAAGATATTCCATGCAAGCAGAAACCAAAAGCAAGCAGGAGTAGCTTTACTTTATCAAATAAAACAGACTTTAAGTCAAAACATTAAAAAAAAGAGACAAAGGTTGTCATATAATTATAAAAAGATCAATTTAGCAACAGGCTATAACAATCCTAAAAATGTATGCACCCAATATTAGAGCACCCAAATATATAAAGCAAATATTCTTAGATCTAAGGGAAGAAATATGGCTGTGTTTGGTGGCTTATGCCTGTAATCCCAGCACTTTGGGAAGCCAAGATGGGAAGATAGCTTGAGGCCAGGAGTTCAAGACCAGCCTGGTCAACATAGTAAAACACCATCTCTAATTAAAAAATAAAAATAAAAAAAGAAGAAATAGAAGATGCCAATACAATAATAGTTGGGGACTTCAACAACCCACCCTCAGCATTAGACAGATCATGTAGACAGAAAATTAACAAAGAAACATTGTATTTAAACTATACTTTAGACCAAGTAGACCTAGCAGACATTTAAAGAACACTTCATCCATCATCTGCAGAATACACATTCTTCTCATGAGTACATAGAACATGCTCCAGAATAGACCATATGCTAGGACACAAAACGTATCTCAACAAGTTTTTAAAAATTGAAATTATACCAAGTATTTTCTCAGACCACAATGGAATAAAACTAGAAATGAATCACAAGAAGAACTTTGGAAACTGTACAAATACAAGGAAATTAAACATGTTCCTGAATGACCCTTATATCAAGGAAGAAATTAAGGAGGAAAGAAATTTTTTAAACAAATAAAAATGGAAATACAACATACCAAAACCTATAGGATACAACAAAAGCAGTGCTAAAAGGGAAATTTATAGCAATGAATGCCTACAAATACATAGAAAGGTTTCAAGTAAACAACTTAATGATGCACCCCAAGGAACTAGAAAAGCAACAACAAGCCAAACCCAAATTTAGTAGAAGGAAAGAAATAATGAAGAGCAAAGCAGAATTCAACAAAATAGAAATAAACAAGCCATCAAAACAAAAAATTCATTTTTTGAAAAGATTGAACAAAATGGATAAACTACAAGCTAGATCAATCATGAAAAAAAGAGAGAAGAACCAAAATCAGAAATGAAAAAGGAGACATTACGACTGATACCACAGAAACACAAAAGATCATCAGAGACTATTATGAACATCTCTACAAACTGGAAAACTTTGAGGAAATTGATAAATTCTCAGACACATACAACCCACCAAGATTGAATCAGGAAGACATAGGAAACCTAAACAGACCAATAATGAGATTGAGTCAGTAATAAAAAGTCTCCCAACAAACAAGAGCCCAAGACCAGATGACTTCCCTGCCAAAGTCTGCCAAACTTACAAAGAACTAATACCAGTTATCCTCAAACTATTCAAAAAAATTGATGCAGAAGAAATTCTCTCTAACTCATTCTATGAGGCTAATGTTATCCTGATACTAAGACCAGGCAAGGACACAACAACAATAAAACTACAGGCCAATATCCCTGATAAACATAGACACAAAAATCCTCAACAAAATACTAGCAAACTGAATCCAACAGCACACCAAAAAGAATACACCACAATAAAGTGGGATTTATCTCAAGGATTCGAGGATGACTCAAAATATGCAAGTCAATAAATGTGATGTCACATCAACAGAATGAAGGACAAAAACCATATGATCTCAATAGATACAGAAGCATTTGATAAAATCTAATATTCCTTCATGATAAAAACTCTCAATAAATGAGGCATAGAAGGAACATAACATAATAAAAGTCATATATGACACACCCACAGCTAACATCATACTGAATGACAAAAAGCTGAAAGCCTTTCCTCTAAGAACTGGAACAAGACGAGGATGCCCACTTTCACCACTCCTATTCAACACAGTACTGGAAGTCCTAGCGTGAGCAATCAGGTAAGAGAAAGAAAAGACATTCAAACTGAAAAAGAGGAAGTCAAATTGTCCCTCTTTGTACATGAGATGATTTTGTATCTAGAAATCTAAAGATTCCACCAAAAAAACTGTTAGATCTGAGTTTAAAAATTAGTAAGGTTGGCCAGGTGCAGTAGCTCATGCCTGTAATCCCAACACTTTGGGAGGCTGAGGCAGGCAGATCACGAGGTCAGGAGATGGAGACCATCCTGGCTAAGACGGTGAAACCCTGTCTCTATTAAAAATACAAAAAATTAGCCAAGTGTGATGGCACACCCCTGTAGTCCCAGCTACTCGGGAAACTGAGGCAGGAGAATTGCTTGAACCCGGGAGGCGGAGGTTGCAGTGAGCCGAGATCATGCTACTGCACTCCAGCTTGGTGGCAGAGTGAGACTCCATCTCAAAAAAAAAAAAAAAAAAAAGTAAGATTGTAGGATAGAAAATCAACATACAAAAATCAGTAGTGTTTCTATCCACCAGTGATAAACTAGCTGAGAAAGAAATCAAGAGAGCAACAATCCTATCTATAATAGCTACAAAAATAAATAAATAAAATATCTAGGAATACATAAAGGAGGTAAAAGACCCCACAAGGAAAACTATAAAACATTGATGAAAAAATAGAAGAGGACCCAAACAAAAGAAGTCTCATGCTTATGGATTGAAAGAATTAATATTGTTAAAAATGACAGCCCAAAGCAATCTGCAGGTTCAATGTAATCACTATCAAAATACCAATTTTTCACTGAAATAGAAAAAACAATCCTAAAATTTGTTTTGAAGCAAAAAAGAGCCCAAATAGCCAAAGCAGTCCTGAGCAAAAGGAATAAAGCTCTAGGCATCACACTACCTAACTTCAAAATATATGCAAATGTTGTAGTAACCAGAACAGCATGGTATTGATGTAAAAACAGACACAGACCAATGGAAAAGAATAGAGGACTCAGAAATAAGCCTGCATATTTACAGCTAACTGATTTTCAACAAAGGTGCTAAGAACATGCATTGGGGAAAGGATACCCTCTTTAGTTATGGGTGCTGGCAAAATTAGGTTTCCATATGCAGAAGAATGAAACTGTACTCCTGTATCTCACCATATACAAAAATTGACTCAAGATGAATTAAAGACTAACATAAGAGCCCAAACTACAAAACTACTAGAAGAAAACATAGGGGAAACACTCAGGACATTGGTGTAGGCAAATATGACCAAGACCTCAAAAGCATAGACAACAAAAACAAAAATAGACAAATTAGACTACATTAAACTAAAAGGCTTCCACACAGCAAAAGAACAATCAACAGAGTAAAGAGACAACCTATTGAATAGAATAAAATATTTGCAAACTTTTCATCTGACAAGAGACTAATATCCAGAGTATACAAGGAACTTAACACTAAAACAACAACAATCATCATCAGCAGCATCTCATTAAAAAGTAGGTGAAGGACACGAATAGGCATTTCTAAAGAGAAGACACAAATGGCCAAAAGGTATATGAAAAAATACTTATCGCTAATTATCAAAGAAATGCAAATCAAAACCACAATGAGATATCATCTTACCCCAGTTAGAATGGCTATTGTTAAAAAGACAAAAAATAACAGATGCTGGTGAGGATGTGGAGAAATGGAAACTCTTATACACTGTTGGTAGGTATGTAAATTAGTACAACCACTATGGAGAACGGTATGGAGATTTCTAAAAAAACAAACCAAAACACAGAACTATTAAACAATTCACCAATCCCACTACTTGGTATTTATCCAAGGGAAAAAAATTGGTACATCAAAGGGATACCTACACCCCCATGTTTATTGCAGTAGTACTTACAATAGCCAAGATGTGACATCAACCTAAGTGTTCATCAATAGATGAGTGGACAATGAAAATGTGGTATATATACACAATGGAATAATCTTCAGCCACAAAAAAGAATGAAATCTTGTCATTTCCAGCAACATGGATGGAAATGAGGTCATTATGTTAAGTGAAATAAGTCCGGCACAGAAAGACGAATATTGCGTGTTCTCACTCATTTAAGAGCTAAAAAAGTTGATTTCATGGAGGTACAGAGTAGAATGATATATACCAGAGGCTAGGAAGGGTGTGTGCTGGTGGGGAGGGGAAGTGAGGAGGAAGGATGAAGAGATGTTGGTTAATGAGCACAAACATACAGTTAGATAGAGGAAATAAGTTCTAATGTTCAATAGCAAAGAAGGGTGACTATAGTTAACAATACTATATTGTGTATTTCAAAATAGCTAGAAGAGAGGACTTGAAATGTTCCTAACACAGAGAAATGATAAATACTTGAGGGGACAGATACCCTAAATACCTTGACTTGATCATTACACATTCTATCCATGTAAGAAAATACCACATGTACCGCAGAAATATGTACAAATAGTATGTATCAATAAAAAAGAATTGAGATCAAACATTGATCATATCAATAAATGTAATCACAAATTATTTTCAGATGGAGTAACAAAGCAAATTGACAATATGTTGTATACAAGACAAATCAAAACCAAAAAGATACAAAAGGTTAAAAATAAAGGAATGGACAAAGATACATCAGGCATATGCAAATAAAAAGATAGCGGGAGTCTCAATGTTGATATCTGACAAGGTGAAGTTAAGAGTAAAAGGTGTTTTTTAGAAAGACAAAAAAAGACACCTTATAAGGCTAAAGTCTACAAAGATATATTAATTTATTAATATATTAACTTTAACAATATATATTGTTAATATTGTTATGCGAAGTAACACCTTAACCTTCATAAAGCAAAAATTAGAAGAAATATATGGAGAAGAAAAAAATACACTAACAGTAGAAAACTGTAACATACTTTGCTCAATTCCAAACAGATCATATGGGTGAAAAATCAGTAAATATATATGATCTATGCAACACAATAATTACGTAGATCTTATAAATGTCTAACTCTTAACTGCAATAATGGAAAAAAAAGGAAACATTTTTTTCATTGTATATGGAACATTTATAAAGACTGTATCTCATGCCACAAAGAAAACTTCAATGAATTCTAAAGGATTGCATTCTGATTACAAATGATATAAATTAATTACAAAATTAGAAAACATAATATCCCAGTTGGAAACTTAAAAAAACCCACTATTAAATAAATTCTTGGGTCAAAGAAGAAATACTAAGTGAAACTGCAGAACTTCTTGAAAATAATAAGTAGTAAACAGATGAAAAAATTATATAGCTATATCAATAAAATAAAAAATAAAATAAATAGCTAAGTTTAAAAACCAAGAAAATAACAACAAAACAGAAAGAGCAGAGGGAAGAAATTAATAAAGGTGAAAGAAACTATTAATTTTAAAAACCTACTTTTTTGAAAAAATAAAATAGACAAATTGATAGCTAGCCCAATTTGCAAAAATTGGAGAAAACACAAAATTAGAAATGTCAAGGGGAAAAAACCATCAAAAGAGAGGAAATTTTAAGAAATCATTAGCGACTACTTTGTACAACTCTAAGCAAATACATTTGAAAATCTTAACAAAGTGAATACATTTCTTAGAAAAACACAGTATACCAAATTGACCCCAATGAAGAGCTATAAAAGGCCTATCATACAATCTTCTATAATAGATAGTTGCATAGAGAGAGAAAGTTATTGAAATAAATTGCAATGATGTTTCTGCACACCTTGAGAAAAACCTTTCCCTAAAATGTTTCCCATCAGGACTGAGAAAATGCAGTCATATCAAGTTAAACAAGAAAAGCTGATTAGATTGCATTTATAATCCAGGAAACAATTTTGTTTTGATGAGTGAACTCAGCCTGGAAAGAGCATGAACCAGGACCAGAATTAATCCACTCTGATGAACACCAATGTCCACGATGACCTCAGGAAGATAAAACAGGCCCTGCAGTTGACAGCTGGCAGCAAGGCTGTGAAAAGCCGTGCTCCCAGAATGTCGGCAGTCATCAGGCAACTCTCTCACCACATCCAAAACAAACCCTCTACAACCCCCCACTTTCCTAAACATCTCTTTTTTCTGGCTAACATTGAGTAATTATTGTTTCTTTACCAATGACAACTCTAGTCCCACTTTAATCTGCCTACCATCTAGATAAAAATTATTGAGATATCTAATTATGAGCTTGCCCCTCCTCCCTGATGGAGCTGGATCCTGAGCAGGACCCTGCTGCTCTCTTAAACTCTCCTTATAGACATTCCCAGCACATGCCCAAATGCTGTAATAAATCACTCCCAAGTCCCTTCTCCCAAGGTGCCCAGTGATTTCCCTGCTGTGCGTCCCCCCTTTTCACAGCAAGGTCAGTAAACCTAACTTTATCTTCGACTACAGAAGTGTTCCTGACAGTCTTTGGTGGGTGAACACTGACGGATATAAGTGTACTAATGCCTTGCAACCACGCAACTCATAATAAAATCTCTGAACAACGTCCCATTCCAAAAATTAAATGTAGTAACAAAAGTAATTTTAAGAAAGAGACACAAGGCTGGGTGCGGTGGCTCATTCCTGTAATCCCAGCACTTTGGGAGGCCAAGACAGGAGGACGATTTGAGCCCAGGAATTCAAGACCAGTCTGGGTAACATAGCAAAACCCCATCTCTAAAAATCTACAAAAATTAGCTGGGCATGCAGGTGCTTGCCTGTAGTCCCAGTTACTCAGGAGACAGGTGGGAGGACTGTTTGAGCCTGGGAGGTCCAGGATGTAGTGGGCTGTGATTGCATCAGTGCACTCCAGCTTTGGCAACAGAGTGAGACCCTGTCTCAAAAAACAAACAAACAACAACAACAACAAAAACAAAACAAACAAAAAACAAGAGAGAGACAATCTGTGTGGAAGAGATTTAAATCCACCACACTGACACAAATCTTTCTTTTCCTACTCACTTTTCTTTACATGGTCACTGTTTGGGAGAATTTCCTGTAGTCTCAATACCATTTTAACTCCCTCTCTTGTGTTCTCTTTCCATTCCTTCACTATGCAGAATAACCTTGCCTCTCTCCCAGCAAGAACGCCTCTTCCCTAGGAGAAGGGAGGGGAAATCAGGTGATTTCAGGGTTCTTTTTGGTGGGCTCAGGGAGTGGGGAAGACTACGAAACTGTCCCGTTCAGCTTTGGTCCTACACTACAGTTTGACAATTTATGAGCAAGTTCCTTTTCATTAACACAATCCATCCTCTCAAAAACGGAGAAGTGTTGGCCATTTCTATTCTTCCCTCTTCCCTCTGCATAGTTGAGGGAAAAACAAATCTCAGAAAGGCTAAGTCCATTCAGCCAGTAATTAGCAGGCTCCTGTTCAAAGCTTTTCCCAAGCAGGTCCTCTATCCAGTGCCTGGTTACATTTAACGCCAGTGATAGTTACAAAACCACCACCTCCCCTGATGAGCTCCTACTGTGTGCTAGGCTAATGCTAGGTGCTTTCTATCCATGCTTCTCAAACTGTGATATGCACACCCATCGCCTGGGCACATTGTTAAAATGCATAGTCTTTTTTACTTTTTAGAGATGGAATCTTGTTTTGTTGCCCAGGCTGGAGTACAGTGGTGCAACCATAGCTCATTGCTGCCTTGAATTTCTGGGCTCAAACAATACTCTCACCTCAGCTTCTCAAGTAGCTGGGACGACAGGTATGTGCCACCACACCTGACTAATTTTTTAATTTTTTTTTTTTTTGTAGAGACAAGATCTTGCCACCTTGCCCAGGCTGGTCTTGATCTCCTTGGCTAAAGCGATCCTCCCACCTCGGCCTCCCAAAGTGCTGGGATTACAAGCGTGAGCTACCATACCTGGCCTAAAATGCATATTCTGATTCAGCATATCTGGATGGGGTATGAGAGTCTACATTTCTATCAGTACGTTCTTGGTTAATGACGATGATGCAAGTCTACCGACCCCACTTTGAGCAGCAAGTTTATATGCACTACCTCACATAAACCCACACAACAGTGTTTCTCAACCTTGACTGCGCTTGGGGGGATTTAAAGCCTTCTAATCCTCAGATGCAGCCCACACTAATCGTGTCAGTATCCCTGGTAGTAAGAGCCAGGTGGTTCTCATGGAAAGCTGAAGTTAAGATGCTGTATGGGCTAGGCAGTAGTACCCCCATTTGGTGGCTGAAAAACTGAAGTTTAGAGAAATTACCTCACCCAAATGCCTACATGTAGACAGTCTTGTGGGCAGATTTTAAACCCAAGCATGTCTGGCTCCAGAGTTCATTCTCTCAGTCACTACTCTCTAAGGTCTCCCACAGTAACAACACCAGATTTCAATCAATTGTTAACTGAGGAAAGCAGGCCCACATATATGAAGCCACTAGGAAGCAGTCTGAGCCCACAGATGTCCTGGCACTGAGACTCTCAGTATGGCTTGCAGTCCTTTAACAATAGGAGGGTAGAAAGCTCTCCTCGGGGCTTAAGTGACTCCTGCTCCGACTGACCCAGCACAAGCCCTGGAACTGATTATGCCTCATTGGTTTCATGGCTTTCCAATAAATGCTGATTGGTCAGAGTATTTCCTCTCCCATTGAGGGTTTAAGTGCAAGAGAAAGCCAGGTGCATTAAATCAGTGTAATTAGCTCTGAAGTGTTGGTGATTAAGGAAGTGGATTCCCAGAGAGAAAGAAACCCTCCAAGGCTTTATCAAGCTGGAATTGTGAAGCCCTAGGCTGGACAGCAGCCAAATGTCTGCTCCTTTCTGATGGGAAGTAAAGGATTCCCCGAGGGATGGACTTGCTGGCAATGGCTGGGCTTAGTCTCCCATCTGGGAATTCATTAATTAGGGCTTAGCTTTGAAGGCAGATAATAAGGTAATCAAAAGGGGAAGTGAAGCCCCACAATTCATGCTGTTTAATGAGTAATACTGGAGTGAGCAGATGAGGAGAGACCTGTCAGAATAGGTAGAGTGTCTTTCTTTTTTTTGTTATACATTTTTTAAAATACTTTAAGTTCTGGGATACGTGTGCAGAATGTTCAGTTTTGTTACATAGGTAGACACGTGCCATGGTGGTTTGCTGCACCCATCAATCTGTCACCGACATTAGGTATTTCTCCTAATGCTATCCCTCCCCTAACCCCCCACCTCCCGACAGGCCCCAGTGTGTGATGTTCCTCTCCCTGTGTCCATGTGTTCTCATTGTTCAGTTCCCACTTATGAGTGAGAACATGCGATGTTTGGTTTTCAGTTCCTGTGCTAGTTTGCTGAGAATGATGGTTTCCAGCTTTATCGATGTCCCTGCAAAGGATATGAACTCATCCTTTTTTACGGCTGCATAGTATTCCATGGTGTACATATGCCACATTTTTTTAATCCAGTCTATCATTGATGGGCATTTGGGTTGGTTCCAAGTCTTTGCTATTGTGAATAGTGCCACAATAAACATACATTGCATGTGTCTTTATAGTAGAATGATTTATAATCCTTTGGGTATATACCCAGTAATGGTATTGCTGGGTCAAATGGTATTTCTGGTTCTAGATCCTTGAGGAATTGCCACACTGTCTTCCACAATGGTTGAACTAATTTACACTCCCATCAACAGTGTAAAAGCGTTCCTATTTCTCCATATCCTCTCCAGCATCTGTTGTTGCCTTACTTTTTGTGCATGACATGATGTATATTTAGAAAACCTCATCATCTCAGCCCAAAATCTCCTTAAGCTGATAAGCAACTTCAGCAAAGTCTCAGGATACAAAATCAATGTGCAAAAATCACAAGCTTTCCTATACAGCAATAATACACAAACACAGAGCCAAATCATGAGTGAACTCCCATTCACAATTGCTACAAAGATAATAAAATACCTAGGAATACAACTTACAAGGGATATGAAGGACCTCTTCAAGGAGAACTGCAAACCACTGCTCAAGGAAATAAGAGAGGACACAAACAAATGAAAAAACATTCCATGCTCATGGATAGGAAGAATCAATATCGTGAAAATGGCCATACTGCCCAAAGTAATTTATAGATTTAATGCTATCCCCATCAAGCTACTATTGACTTTCTTCACAGAATTAGAAAAAACTACTTTAAATTTCATATGGAACCAATAAAGAGCCCATATAGCCAAGACAATCCTAAGCAAAAAGAAGAAAGCTGGAGGCATCACACTACCTGATTTCAAACTGTACTAGAAGGCTACAGTAACCAAAATAGCATGGTACTGGTACCAAAACAGATATATAGACCAATGGAAAAGAATAGAGGCCTCAGAAATAATGCCACACATCTACAACCATCTGATCTTTGACAAACCTGACAAAAACAAGCAATGGGGAAAGGATTCCCTGTTTAATGAATGGTGTTGGGAAAACTGGCTAGCCATATGCAGAAAACTGAAGCTGGACCTATTCCTTACACCTTATACAAAAATCAACTCAAGGTGGATTAAAGACTTAAATATAAGACCTAAAACCATACAAACCCTAGAAGAAAACCTAGGCAATACAATTTGGGACATAGGCATGGGCAAAGACTTCATGACTAAAACATCAAAAGCAACGGCAACAAAAGGCAAAATAGACAAATGGGATCTAATTAAACTAAAGAGCTTTCTGCACAACAAAAGAAACTATCATCAGAGTGAACAGGCAACCTAGAGAACGGGAGAAAATTTTTGCCATCTATTCATCTGACAAAGGGCTAATATCCAGAATCTACAAGGAACTTAAACAAATTTACGAGAAAAAAAACAAATAACCCCATCAAAAAGTGGGCAAAGGATATGAACAGATACTTCTCAGAAGAAGACATTTATGTGGCCAACAAATGTATGAAAAGGCTTATCATCATTGGTCATTAGAGAAATGTAAATCAAAACCACCATGAGATACCATCTCACACCATTTAGAATGGCGATTATTGAAAGGTGGAGTGTCTTAAGCTACCGTCCTGACCACTGGTTTTGAACCAAAGAGCCAACGGAGAAATCTTCGGATAAGAGTATAATTTAAAATCAGTAATAGTGCAACTTTCCTACAACAGCCTCCTCTCTCCATCTTCTTTGCCCCCATGACCATCTCATCATTCCAGCAACCGAGACCACAAAATATCTGCTCGCCAAGAATGCTGCCTGGGTCCAAGGCCAAACCAGCTGTCTGGGCAGGCAGGGAGAAGAGGCCTCCTGCTGGGCCACATGCTCTCTCAAAGAGAACACAAATAAGAATGCAGTGTTTACACACAAGGATCAAACTTCTGTTTTATGCTTTAAAATAGGAATTTGGGGGTATTACAAGATTAAATTTGGCTGTACATTTAGAATCGCTTGGGAGACCATGTAGGTTGAGGAAGAAGCATGATGAATGTAATGAAGATGATTTTATTTTTCAGGTTTTCTTCCCCGCATTGTGAAATCCGTGACACTTTCTGACATCTAAGTACTGGCTTAAAAGTTTTCCAATGCTCTATACATCTCTACAGCTTTGCTTCTGATCAAAGGTGAAAAAAGCCCAAAGCCTTGCCCCAAATGTCACCTTTTTGGGTGTTCTCTGGCTGTGACTCTCCTGTGAGTAACACAGTTTGGAATCGACTTGAATATTTATATGTCACCAAATTGATGACACACATGGCCTCTCTCTCCACAGGTGTCCAACAGGAATGGAAAATTTTTTGTGTGCGACTTCCTCTCTCTTTTGCCTTTCCCTCTTATTCATATTCTTCCCCTTCCAGAAAAAAAAAAAACAAAAAACACTAAGTTTCTTAGATCTTACCAATTTTGCAGCTTCTGGTGGCCTCTGATATGAATTAGAGGCAACTGATTTCTGCCAGGTAAATGAACTCAAAGTCTCTAAGCGGAAAGGAAAGGCTGATGGATATGTGGCATTTCCACTCCAGAGAGAAATCTTTCCCCCTTTTTCAAGAACCTAAAACTCACATATAGCTCACGTTGCTAGAGGTAGTTGCTTGTTGGAAACCCTCAGCAGATCTAAATGATGGATTTCATTACCCACATCCCTAATTATGTTACAAAGTTCTCCCTCAATACCTTGGTATGGTAAAGCTTTCTGACAAACCACTCCTTCCTAATGTATATTTTTCCCCTGGCTGGGGAGAGAGGGTGGAGAAGAAGATGGGCAAGAAGGTGGTCTCACCATGTATAGAATGTCTTTTCATTTTATGCAGCCATGGCATTGCTCTCTCATCTCTAAACAATTGGCTCCCAACCTGGCCACACAACTGAAACCACTTAGGGAACCTATAGGAATCCTGGTGCTCAGGCTGTACCCTAAACCTTTTGCAACTCAGTGTTTGTGATGGCACCCAGGCATCAGTAGTTTTTTGATGACAGTAGTTTTAAAATCTGGCTGCACATTTAGAATATCTCGGGAAGCTTTAGAAAATACTGATACTTGCTCCTACTCCCAGAGATTCTGATTAATGAATGGGTCTGCTGTGCAGCCTGAACACTAAGGATTTTGAAACCTCGCCAGATGAATCAAGTGCACAGCCAAGGTTGAAAACCAGTGCTCTAATCATTTTCTTCTTCCGCATTTTCCAGCTTGAGGGCCAAATAATTCCTTGCTGGTTAAAGGAAAAATTCCAGTGATTACTAGTTGATCTATTCATGTGACTCATTTTCATGATGATTCACTGCACTGAATATACAGGCAATATAGAATTTTTAGGCAGAAAGCCTATAGTTTATGACTTTATTCTACAAGTGCTCCCTCTCTTTGAGTTGCAGTCCACTGCTCTGAGTCATAATAAACCATAAATAACAACTAAGAACAATGGGTTACCTGAGCCACTGCTCCTATACTTTCATTTTTAATTGAATTCTAATAACTGGGTTGCTAGAGAAACTCAGATAATGCAACCTACCTGGACTTTCGTAAAAGAGCCTTGAAACTCTTGAAAATGTTTATGAAAAAAAAAAATCCCTCGTGTGTATGGGGTCACACGGATTGGCGAGGGAACAGCAGTCCAAAGACCAGGAATTAGAGATACTGTAAATGCACTTTGCTGTCTTCACATCCACGGAAGATAAAAGTATGTTAAAAATCAGAGGGGCTATTAAAATGATTTTTAAAAATATTACCTTAGAATGTCTATTAGAAGTTGAGGATGAAATTTAAGATCTTTTCTAGTCCTAGGATTCTATGTTTCTACACGACAGTTTGTTATAATCATATCCATAGTAAAAAAAAATGTTTAAGAAAAACATTAGACCTAGGAAGTTTACAGATTCAATTTAGTGAGACACTTATGTATATAATACAACATATTCAAGGATGCATATGTATGTAGAAAAATATACTGAGAAATGAGGATGTATCTTTATGTTGTCTCTGACTACACATTATAAAGGCAAAGTCAATAAGAAGAATCTTTTAAACTTGAAGTGGTGGATTAGACTTCAGATTGCTAATTTTTAAATTCTGTAATTTCAGACAAGTCCATGTATGCTCACAACTCTTTCACTGTTATTAACAAAGACTTATTTACTATTGAAACAAGATATAGGTCATGCGTTAAACAGGAAATATTAGGGATGACTTCTGCCTTAACACTTCCTCAACTAAGAGTCGTTTCAAGAAGTAACATGGTTAACACGTCTGCCTGTGCATTGTGCTGGAATGGATAATATGTCTTCTTTCCCTTTGCTGTCCCTGAATACTCTTGGGTGAATATGTTAAGTAACTAAAAAGGAAGGACTGGGAAATAAGACTGAGTTACAAAGGCATGGAGAATATTGAGGGATCAATTATACCTGCTGCATACTCACCAAATGACTGTAGACCTAAAAAGAGGGAATCTCATATGTCCAGCCTTCTTTAAACATTTCATTAGTTCAGTTTGGGAACCAGTCTATATAGACACCTACATTGTGGGTCAAGTCAATTAGAGTGTAGGATATGAGATGACTTCCCTTCAGGTCTCATCAAATTGGCTTATTGCAATGAGCAAAACAGGAAAGTGGTGGCCATAAGCTTGTGTGACTGTCCCACATTCCAGTGCCCCCACTATGTAGGGAAGTCTTTGCAAGGATCTATCACTGTATGGATTAACAGTCAGGACAGAGTCACTAAAGTCTAAAGTGAACTGTATAAAACCAGGACCATGGCCCCTCATTCACAGTGGAATGAGGACAACACCTAGGACAGTAGGTGCTTCCTAAATATATGATGTATTAGTGTTCAGTAGATACCATTTCTCATTTCTCATTCTCTTGGTCATCCATCACTCTCTAGGCAGGCTCAGGGTTGCTTGAGAAAGTTGGCGCCAATTGCACCCCAAGGAGAAAGAGACTCGGATGATGGTATTGACTTTCTTCCTCAATAACCACCTGGCCTTAATGAAGCCGTCTGAACTCTGTGCTCAGCTTTCTTCTCTGGACACTTACACACAATCTTCTCCCTTCTGTCCACCTTACAAAGGTATTTTAACAATCAAATGGATAAAAGAAATATGAAAGCACTCAATGACATCCATCTTGGTATACATGGATTCTTGTTTGTAGCAGGCCCTCACAATGCTTTTAACAGTGAATAAGGTAACCTCAAAACCCTTGTCTTCAGCCTGTATTGTACTAGCCTTGCTTTTTTTTTCCTCCGAGTCCAATTTAAGGTGAGATAATTACCTGGCAGGGGAGATACCCTGATTACGATTTAGAGTGAGATGAGCCAAAGGCCATGGACAGCCTCACATTTTTATTACTACGGTTTCTACAGCATCTCCTCTATGATGTTATTATAGATGCATATTCACTGACATGCCCCACCTTCCTATGTCTCCAACGCATGGAGCATCCCTATTTCCATGCCTTTGCCCAGACTCTTCCCCTCATTTAGAGGGCCTTTCCCTCCCTTTCCAGCATAACCAAAGTTTATGTGTCCTACAAACTTCCTCTTTCAAGCCTTCCCCAACATTGGTCTCTCTCTCTCTCCTCAGAATGCCAATGCTATTCTATATAATTATCATTTTAGTGTGTGATTTTCTTGTGCATCCAACTAGATTGTAAGCTCCACGAGGATGAAGACCATTTCTTATTCTTTCTTGGAGCCTGCCCAGTGAGAATTACACAGTTATTCATTATGTGGAAATTGTAATCTTCCAGCTTATAGTACAGTCTAGTTTGCATATTTACCTAGTTTACATCCATGATAATTTTGCAGAGTGATGAGCTGTATGTATAATCCCCCAAGTAAGCCCTAAGGTGAGGGAACAAGTTAACTTGTGCCAGCAAAGAAAAAAAAATCAAGGAAAGAATATAGTTGAACAATTATGCTTCTTAGTGTACCCCAAGGGTATAGATATGATCCTCCAAAGAGTTGTCCAGCACCCTTAATGTCACTGGTTTACTTGATGAGAGTCCTGACTGGAGCTGTCCTCAGCTGTGGTGCTGAAAGGTTAACTTTCTAGAAACACTGGATAGCCTGAACCATGAACAAAAACAGCTACTGGGAGAGGGGTGGGTCTTTTCCTAAGTGATCTTCAGGCCCCTCAAACTTTGCAGTCTCAAATGAAATTCATTTTCTTTCAGACGCCCTTTTCTTCCTCTTATATTCCCTAAGTCTTGGCATCCCTACTTCCTAAATAGCTTTTAAAACCAATTTCTCCTCTCCATTCTCATTGCCACTGCAACAATTTCCCTAACTATTTTCTCTCAGATGTCTTGCTACTCAGTGTCTGCAATTATCAACTTCCACCCCTGATGCATACAGAACTTAATTCAAGGTCATTAAAGTGGGCAACAGGTAGAGTTTAACTCTGCCAGTTAAACTATAAATAGCAACCCAAAATGGATGAGAACGATATATATGAAAAGCTCCTTAGAGATAAAATAGTTCCAGGGCCAGAAACAGGAAAAGTGAAAAAAGCCTGTCTGTGTGAGCCAAACCAAGTCCAGGCAGAGAAAAGATCATGTTCCTGTTTAAAGAAGTTTGTGAAGAATATGTGTTGTTCACAAAGGGGAGAGCCATCAGTAGCTGGGAAGAACGTGAGTTTGCAACAAGGAAGAACTGGCAATGTCCATGTGAGCATTGCTCAGGGAGGTTTGCCCCAAATGCAACTCTGTTAGATCAATGTAATGTGCTAGCTGTTCTCAATTGGCCCCTCCATTCCTTCTCTGGTCTTGGGAGGCTGGCACGAATAAACTGCATCCATGGGTTCCCTTGCCATGTGGCTTTGCATTGGCTTTAGTTAATGGAAAACACAGCAGGAGATAAAAGGGGGAGATGAGAGTCAGTTTGGACTATTGATACCTCCTGCTCCATTCCATGCTGGCTGTCCTGACTTAAGGCCGCAGCTTCTTCACTATGGTTTCTCCTACAGCTCTCTTTCTCTGATTTCCAGTTGCCACTCTTTCCCTCACTTCTTCTGACCTAGTGGTAGTAATAGTGTACTGAACTGTCCCCATAGTTATCCAATTTGAGTGTGCCATCTGTTTCCTGCTGGGACCCTGATCGGGGCTTGATATCATTAAGCATTCAAATCCCAACTCCCTTGTTTCAAATCTTATCCTCTCTCAGCATTATTCTGTTCATAAATTGGTTTCATATGTAAATCCATGTACAGAGAGAGAATGTACTGGTTGTGTTGACACAAGCATTCTTTTCTGCCTGACATGTTTATTTCTCCTTGTTAATTAAGAAACTGGCATTCTGATTTTATCCCTTCATATTAAATTAGCTTTGTTAGTGCAAGTCAGCCTGTCTGGGATTAATTCTGAGGTGTTGCCAAAACTGAGGATTTGGGCTTAATTCACTTAGATGCTATTACCCTTGAAGGCCTCTAGGGACCATCCATTCCCACCCCCCCCCCACCAGCCCCCCACAAGCTACTTGGAACTTCTGGCCAAGGACTTATAGCTCAAAGTACTTATAGTTTCTCAACCATGTTATACTTTCATGCCTCTGGGCTTTTATCCAAACTGTTATGTCTTTCTCTGAAATCCACTCTTTCAAAACACTGTTTAGGCATAATTTCTTCTGTGAAACCTTCTTAATCTTTTTCAGAAATAATTCTCTTTAGTGGCTATTCATTGAGCACCCTTTACTAGAAATTCTGAGATGTCCTGGAGACATGCAAGGTGGCTCAGACATTGATGCTTTTCAGTTTCATACTTGAGACAAAGTGATAAAAAAAAAAAACCTATATAAATGACATTGTATTAGACAATTCTTGTATTGCTATAAAGAAATACCTGAGACTGGGTAATTTATAAAGGAAAAAGTTTTAATTGGATCATAGCTCTGCAGAAGAAGCATGCTGCTAGCATCTGCTTGGCTTCTAGGGTGGCCTCAGGAAGCTTACAATTCTGGCAGAAGGTGAAGAGAGAGCAGGCATGTCACATGGCCAGAGGAGCAAGCAAGAGAGAAAGCGGTGGTTGAGTTGGTGGGTACCATGCACTTTTAAATGGCCAAATCTCATGAGAGCTTCCTCACTATCATGAAGACAGCACCAAGCCCCCATGACCCAAAGACCTCCCACCAGGCCCCAGCTCCACCTTTGGAGATTGCAATTCAACATGAGATTTGGGTGGGGACAAATATCAAAACTATACCATTCTGCCCCAGGCCCTTTCCAAATTTCATGTCCTTCTCACATCAAAGAATACAATCATGCTTCCCAACAGTCCTCTAAAGTCTTAACTTGTTCCAGCATTAACTCCAAAGCCCGAAGTCTCATCTGAGACAAGGCAAGTCCTTTTCACCTACGATCCTGTAAGATAAAAAAGTTAGTTACTCCCAAGATACAAAGGGGGTATAGGTATTGGGTAAACATGCTCATTTCCAAAAGAGAGAAGTTAGTCAAAAGAAACGGGCTACAGGCCCCATGAAAGTTCAAGGCCCAGCAGTGCAGTCATTAAATATTAAAACTTCAAAATAATCTCCTTTGACTGCATATCCCACATCTAAGGCACACTGGTGCAAAAGGTGGGCTCCCAGGGTCTTGGGCAGCTCTGCCTCTGTAGCTTTGCAGGCTTCAGCCCCCACAGGTGTTCTCACAGGTTTTTGAGTGCCTGAAGCTTTTCTAGGTGCAGAGTACAAGTTGCCAGTGGATCTACCATTCCGGAGTCTGGACAGCAGTAGAGCTAGTCCCCACTAGAGGGCAGTGGAGTAGAGAGCCCACTGGGGCACTGCCTAGTGGAATCCCGTTTTCACAGCTCCTCTAGGCAGTGCCCCAGTGGGGACTCTGTGTGTGGGCTCCAATCCCACATTTCCACTCCACACTGTCCTAGTAGAGGTTCTCTGTGGGAGGTCCACAGCAGGCGTCTCCCTGGGCACCCAGGATTTCTCACAACCTCTGAAAATAGGTGGAGGCTGCCAAGCATTCACTCTTGCACTCTGCTCACCCACAGGCTTAACACCACATGGAAGCTGCCAAGGCTTATGGTTTGCATTCTCCAAAGTGGCAGCTTGAGCTCTGCCTGGGCTCCTTTGATCCACAGCTGGAGCTGGAGCTGGAGTGGCTGGAAAGTGAGGAGCAGTGTCCTGGGGCTGTGCAGAAAAGTGGGGCCCCAGGCCTGACTCACTAAACAATTCTTCTCTCCTTGGCTTCTGGGTCTGTGATAGGAGGGGCTGCCTCTTAGGTCTCTGAAATGCCTTTGAGATCTTTCTAGTTTTCTTGGATATTAGCACTTGGCTCCCTTTTAGTTATGCAAGTATTTCCTCTAGTAAGTGGTTGCTGCCAGCTTGAATTCCTCTCTCAAAAAAAGATATTTTCTTTCTCTGCCACATGGCCAGGCTAAAAATTTTCCAAACTTTTAGTTCTGCTTCTTTTTTAAATATAAATTCCAACTTTAGTTCATTTCTTTGCTCTTGCATCTGAGCATAGGCTCAGCCAGGCCAAATCTTGAATGCTTTGCTGCTTAGAAATGTCTTCCACCTTTGACAGACTGCCCATGTATGCCGCCAGATACCCTAAATCATCACTCTTTAGTTCAAACTTTCACAGATCCCTAGGGCATGGACACAATATGGCCATGTTCTTTCCTAAGGCATAACAAGTGTGTCATTTGCTCTAATTTCCAATAAGTTCCTCATTTCCATCTGAGACCTTGTCAGCCCAGACTTCACTGTCCATATCATTACCAGCATTTTGGTCACAACTGTCTAGTCAGTCTCTGAGAAGGTCCAAACTTTCCCTCATTCTCCTGTTTTCTTCTGAGCCTTCCAAATCCTTCCAACTTCCGCCAATTATCCAGTTCCAAAGTCACTTCCACGTCTTCAGGCATCTTTATAGCAATGCCTTACTCCTCAGTACCAATTTTATGTATTAGGCTATTCTTGAATTGCTATATAGAAATGTATAATATATAAGGTATATTATAATTTGTATGCTTTATAAATTACAATAATTATATAATAAATTTATAATATAAATTTATATTTATAAATATAATTTATAATGAAAAGAGGTTTAGTTGGCTCATAGTTCTGCTGGCTTTATAGGAAGCATGGTGCTGGCATCTGCTCAGCTTTTAGGGAAGCCTCAGGACGCTTACAATCATGATTGAAGGTGAAGGAGGAGCAGGCATGTCACATGGTGAAAGCAGAAGCAAGAGAGAGAGAAAGAGAGAGAGTTGGGGAAGAGGTGCCACACACTTTTAAATGACCAGATCTTGTGAGAGCTTACTATTATGAAGATTGCACCAAGCCATGAGAGATCCACCCCCATGACCCAAACACCTCCCACCAGGCCCCACCTCCAGCATTGGGGATTACAATTCAACATGAGATTTGAGTGGGGACAAATATCCAAACAATATCAGACATGGAAAGACAGAAGCATGCATAGGATGCTATGGAGACAGGAGGGTGGGGGCAGTAGGTGGGCAAGTGTCAGGGGGGAAGGCGATCTGTAAGAGATGGCATGTGACTTCAGCTGTGAATGACTGACTGGGACAGCAAAGATCACAAAGAATGAAGGGCCCTCTGGGGTTTCAGGGCAAATTATCTGGAGTCCATTAAACTAGTAACCACCCTTTGAGTGGCTCCTTATGCAGGGGTGGCCATGTCTAGAACATTGACCCTCTCACTGTGGCCCAAGCTGTTTGGAGCAGGACTAGGTACCAGATCAGATGGCAGCCACTCAACAGGCTGGCCAGTGACCTATGAGCAGCCTGGCACTGGTGCAGCTGTGTTGTATAAATGAACCAAAGAGGGCCTCTGTGTTTTGGCCTCTAGGCTATTTCTTCATAGCAGGCTGAGACTTGTTGGCTAAAAGGCTACAGGCATCAAACTCAAAACCATTTAGAGCCCACTGTCTTTGCCAACCCTGTGAAAGTACACCCAGTATCTGCTGGCCATTGATAAGATAAGAGTCTTACGGTTTTAAGACCCTAAGCCACCCCTGCCCCTCGGAGCTCTCTGACCCAGAGACTCCCCGCTGTGCCTCACCTAGTCACATAAGCCCCACTCTGATCCCTTTCTCCCCTGGGAGTTCCCTTGACCTCCTCCTCTTCTAGAAGCTTCTGGACAGTGTCATACTGTAAGGGACTTCCTCTCTCACCCAACCCTGTTCAAGCGCCAACCAATAAATCTTCTGTGTTACTGTTTCTTATGATCATGTCTTTTCCCTTAATCACTAGAGAAGAAGAAGATAGTAGAGAGTTCCCAAATGACTTTTTAGATCCTGAACCACATTCTGGTCTCCACAAGAGGCTGTGTCTTGGTTCCCATCCCACCCTGAGGACATGCCACTCCATGTAAATTCCATTCTGATAGACAATAACCCCTTTCCTAAGGCAGTCCTAGTGTGTCTTTATTCTTTGCATCTAAAAGAGCCTGCTCCCACACAGGCCATAGGAAGAACACGAGAGGTCTGGAGTAGGAGACTGTGTGGTGTTTCAGGGAACCTCAGGCAATTTGATATTTCTGGAAAAGATGATGCCAGTTGGAGGTTTGGTGGAAATGACACTGCAGAGGTGAATGGGGTCAGGTCACAAAGTCCGTGTGTGCATTCCGCTGAGAGTCCCAGGCTTCATCCTGCAGGGAGACACTGAGGTTTTAAAGGCAGTAGAAATGGGTTGGACTTAGCATATTCATTAGGTCACTTTAGCAACAAAGTAGAAGGAGTTTGAGACGAGCAAGAAACAAGTGGAGAGGAAGTGAGGAGAGAATAGATGGAATGGAGAGGAGGGGATATATTCAATAAATACTTAAGAAATAAAAGCAACAAGAGTTGGCGACATTGCTTTGGGGTTGACAGAAAGATGCACAAATCTGTGATGAATGATTCCTGTTTTTCAGATTTTGGCATGGGATGAATGGGGTGACTTAGATTGTTGTAGAAGAGCAAATTGGAGCAGGGAAGAGAGGAGGAAGAGGAAGAAGATGTGTTTGAGGAATGCACAGGACATCCATGTAGAGAAACCTGTGGACAGTTGGCTCCATGCATCAGAACTTCAGGGTGAGTCCTAAGTCTCATCTCGGCAGCATCCATCATCACTCAGACTCATCCTGTGCTGCTGATTTCATCCTGTAAGATGGACTGGACTGGTCCTTCATCCCAAAGCCTTGCTCTATGTACTCTGGAAGGCCAGCAAAGTTTCCTGTATCATCAACACCTTCTCAAAACATGCCTCTTCCTTCTGGACTTAGATGGGCCCTCCTGTAGGGCCCCCTTTCCCTCATAGCTCTCTCAAGTGGAGGCTGTTTTTAATTTATTTATTTTTCCTGTATCCAGCACAAGTTCTTTGGGGTCAGGAAGTGGGGTCTGTGTTTTTAATTACGATTTCCACATTCCAGTCATTTTTCCTGTAAGCCCCAGTGTCTCTGAGGATTATTCCGTCTGTCCCGCTTCCCCTCTTCCTCATTGTTGTAATTCACCAACATCCTCAACACTTTCTGTCATTCACCAAAGAAGGGAGCTCCTGTTTTCAGTCTTCTCCTGTCAACATTAGCTTCATTCTGAATGATTTTCTTGTCCATATGGAGGAATCATCGACCACTGTGGATCCTCATTTTCTTGACTTACTCATCTCCAAAGACTTCTCCATTTCAACTCGCACGTCCATTCCTACAGTCAAACCCTACATCAAAAGTTCTGAAATGGCAATTTCAAACATCCCACTCTCCAACCACCACTTCCTGTCAAGTACTCCACTGAAACTATCTTTTGACTTTATTGAAACCTTTCAACTTTTAGTCTTCATTGCTTACCATTGTCTAGAGCTACTGCATATTTATTCAGGTCATAGGCTTTGGAATTAGGATGCCAGGTTAATTTGTTGGGGGAGGCCACCAAGATGTGGATATATCATTTAAAAAATAAATCTAGGTTCCAGAATTCATCTTGGTGGTTGGGAAATGTGAGTGTGGGCTCTGCAGAGAAATGGGCATCAATAGGTTGTTTTTACCATAGCCATGGAAGGAAAGCAGGAGAAGTGCTGGAATCCATCCCTCACATATTTCCCTCACCACTTATCATCTGTCTGCAGTGCCGTTTGGCTCAGTCACTTAGCACTTAATCAGGTACTCTTTAATTTTTCACATCTGTCTGTCTGGAGCCTAGAATGTGGTCATAGAAAGCTCTTTGGGTCTGTATTCAAAACAATGGAATTCAGACACAACTTACTTCCTGTAAGGTCTTGAGCAGGTCATTTAACTGCACCTGAAAATGAAAATAACTGTCCCCACCTCAACCAGTTGTTGTAAGGATTAATGAGATAATAGATATAAAAGCATTTGATAAGCTTTAAAATGTTTTAAGAACATAAGGTCTACTATCTTCCAGTGATAATTGAGAATAGTAATTGTGTGTTCCTTGTTTGCTTCATTAGGCAAGGTGATCAAAAATATTTGTCAAATGAATGCATAAATTAATGAATGAATGAGAAGTGAGTGAGTGAATGGACAAGTGAAAAAATCAATAAATGCCTAAATGCAATCTAAGTCTCAGGCATTTTGATCGCAGGCTCACAAGGAGAATTGGCTGTCTGATCAGGTAAACACTTGTTAATATTACTCATTAATTGTTCACTTAATTTGACAAACAGATTCACTGCCTACCACATATCTGGTAGTATGTGTTCCTAATTACTGTCTCATCCAAAACTCACAGTGTCTGTGTAAAGAAGTTCTTTTGAATTTCATACTACAGACGGGAAATCAGAAGCACAGAGAAGTTAAGTAACCTTCCAAAGTTCACACAAGTAGTAACTTATAGAGCTTGGAATACAGACAAAAGGTGCCCCCAAGAGAATGAAATGGAGGGAATGATAGTTCCAATAGACAGTTCTTCACTGTGAGTTGGGGTGAGAGGGGTGGGCTTTTATACCTCTGCATCCACTAGTCATTGGATGTTGGATGTCCTAGGGAGGCAGCTTCCCTGGGAGGAACTCAGCACCTGGATGATCGAGTGCCTCCATTCTGAAGGTGGATCTGGGCAGCAAAGCACAGCATATACCATGTTATTAATGCTTCTAAAGAGTGTGTTAGCCAGCCTGGGTAGATTCAGTCAAATAAAGACGGATTGTGGAGAAAGCAGAACCCCAGAGACAAGGGTATCCATGGAAGATCTGCGCAGCCCATCACCCAGATCCTCTTCTAGGGATGGCTGCAGGGGCAATCCCAGCCTGGTGCCAGGAAGCCTTCCTGTTATCCAGATCAAACTTCTTGCTCTTGGCCCAAGCTCCTCAGGAGGTATTTGGACTTCCCATACCTCTTGGCTACAGAGAACAAATGAATGCAGTGGCATTCTGCCCTGAGAGGTCAGCCCCCGTCGTCTTAGTTAGCGTGAGTCCCATTCCCAAGTCCCATCACCTCTGGGACAATGAGAAGATCAAATTTCTGAGCTGACAGCAAGGAAATGGCCCCTCATGGAAAGCTGTCTGAGAGGCCAACAGACTTTTCCCAGACCAATACCATAGTCATAATCATTCTTAGTGAACTCAGACCCTGTAGTGGAGCCAACCAGGCAGATAACAGGGATTATAGGGAATTCCCGGGAAAGAGGGGTCCAGACAAAGACATAGCCAAGAAATGACAATGAAAATCCATATGGACTGGGATGTCACTGAGTGGGCAGGTGTCTCAGTGGTTGAGGTCAGCATGGTAGCCTTTGAGGGTGTCTAAGTGGGAAAATAAACCCAAAGTGTTTTTCCATTCTCTCACTCAACAACAATCAACACAGAAGACTTCTGTGACCAAATGTGTGGATTCTTTCCCCATTCAGTAAGCAACCAATTCTGCAGTAGACACTGGCTGAATTTCCTCTGATTCAATTCTGACACTATCTACCTGGAAATAGCATCACATCCCACAGGTTGAGGGCTCAGTTCTACAAAACTGCCTTCCACTTCCAATGCCAACAGCAAGCCCCAGGCTGTTTTTACCTGTGCCTGTGACTGACTGGCTATAAATCATGGTTCTCACCACCCCTACCCTCTCCTTGGCTTCAATTCATTTGCTAGAGCAGCTCACGGAACTCAGGGAAATACCAGATTTTTAAGATACAGATGAAGAGATGCATAGGGAGGGTGATAGGAGAGGTGCAGGGCTTCCATGCCCTCCAGATAGAGCTTGTAGGACCCCACCAGGAACTTCCATATGTTCAGCTATCTGGAAGCTCCTGAAACCCCATCCTTTAGGGTTTTAATGGAAGCTTCATTACATAGGCATGATTGATTAAACCATTGGCCATTGGTGATCAACTTAACCTTCAGTTCCTCTTCCCTCCCCAGAGGTTTGGGATTCCCATACAGCTGAAAATTCAAGCTCTCTAACCCTGCTTTGGTTTCCCAGTGACCAGTGACCAACCCCACCCTGAATCTATGTTAGGGGCTGCCAGCCACCAGTCAATCATTAGCATACAAAAACCATCACTTTGGGGAGATTCGAAGGATTTTAGGAGTTGTATGCCAGAAAAGGAGGTTGAAGACCAAATATGTGTTTTACAATATCACGCTGTGTCAGCGTGGAACTGAGCATTAAAAGATGAAGGAGCTTGAGTTTTTAATGGGGCAGGACCAAATAAGGAAAAGTAGGCACATTTATTTTGAAGGGATTAACCAATCTTATTCTGTGTTTTAGAAACAGTCTAATGCAAGAAACCAAAACGCAACTGAGCTCATTTAAATAAAGAAATGTCAGGCTGGGCGCCATGGGGCTCATGCCTGTAATCCTAGCACTTTGGGAGGCCGAGGTGGGTGGATCACCCAAGGTCAGGAGTTTGAGACTAGCCTGGCCAACATGGTGAAACCCCATCTCTACTACAAAGTACAAAATTAGCCGGGCGTGGTAATGTGCACCTGTAATCCCAGCTACTCAGGAGGCTGAGGCAGGAGAATCTCTTGATCCTGGGAGGCAGAGGTTGCAGTGACACTGAAAGAGGAAGGAGGTTGCATAAACACATCAAAGCCATTTCTTTATAAGTGATTTGAGGTCAGTGATTTTTGCTAATACTTGTGGGAGCATAATGAAGCAAAAGCATGATTAACTTGCTGATATTCAATGACTCTTCACTGAAGCTCAAGTTTATATGCATTTATGAAAGAGTCATGAACACTTTTCCTTATTTTATTTTATTTTTATTTTTGCAGACCTCTGGAGAGCAGATTAGGATATCAAAGTGTAACAGAAAGCAGAAAAAAGTTTAACTGAAAGATGAAAAACTTTAGATGCATTAGTGCTATGGCAAACAGCCAGATCACTCCAATTATGTCCCTAATTGGGTCCATAAATAATTTATAACCCACCATTTGTGTCTGGGGCAAAGGATTTCTAACAGTAAATGCTTAAGTAGTGGTTAGAGGGACCTAATGATTTCCAATTCTGAACTCATCAGAACTCCTCTAGGCTGTGATTCCAACAGCCCTTCTTGAAGTAATTTGGTGGGGATTACTCAAGTATGGGGAGAAATTGTCTTCAGTGTCTAGGTGAAACAGACTGTCAGAGAAGTAATGAGCTCACCTCCCTTTGCTGCTAACCTTGCCACTGGCTTTCATTTAAGGTCAAGAGCCAAAGCCATGAAAATCAGAAATAAAAGGGGGAGCAAAGCTTCCAGAGGCCCTATGATTAGTAGTAGGATTTCTCTCATTTCTTCATGAGAAGCTGGAGGTAATTTCTACTGCCTAAGAGTCTGCACTAATTGTTTTAGGTATTTGTATGTTGCCTGTTAATTTTCACAGCTTCTCCACATCTTGTTTTTCTTTTAATGTTTTAGTTGAAGTATAATAACATATATACAGTACAGTGGATGAAGTGCACACATCTTAAGTACAGAGCTCAATGAGTGTTTTGCAGATGGGTTTTTTTCACGTAGCTAACACCCAGACTGAGATGTAAAACATTCCATATCCCCCAAAAGGTGCTTCTGTTCCTTCCCAGGGTGTGTGTCTCTTGGAGGAGAAACCCGGAGGATGAAGCAAAGCCCTTGAGGCTTGGCTACTTTAGGATTCATGTGCTGTCTGCTGCAAGAAGACATTGAACAAGTGAGAGCAACATCTCAGCATTTCTGAGCAGACCATTTAAAAACTCAAATGCAGCAGAGGGTGCTTGCGAGTGAGATCTGTGTGGGCCTGCAATAGGAGAAGGTCTTGTTCACTTCCTGCCAAAAGCAGTGAAGGTTTACAGGGCCCCTTCTTCTGTGTCCCCATCCAGGGAAGCCACAGCAGCTCTATCCGTGAGCTCCTTCAAAGGTTCTACAATCCCTGGAAGGTACTTGCATGACACAGGACAAGCAACAGACTGAAAGTTTGGTTTGGCCAAGGGACACCTGGAGGTCATCTGCTATTGGTCACTTCTGAAGAAGAATGAGGCTGAGGCTCCCTCAGAGGGCCTAATTTGTCAAGGCCGGTACCAGCAATGAACATGCCTGGCCGGGGTGGAAGCCCCAGTTTTCCTTTTACACATAGCTTTTAACCCCCAGGGGAGGGATAGCTGGTAGCTCATACTTGCTGTACATTTATTAAGTGCTGGGTACTACGATGAACACTTCACATCAATAGTCTCATTAATCTGTAACTTGCATTGACCAATTTCTCCATTTTAGAAATAATGAAACAGAGGGAAAGACACAGTTAGTAAAAGACGGCCTCAGACTCCAGACCCTGGCAATCCTGTTCCAGGGCCTCTGAGCTTCCCCACACTGCCCCCCACTCCCACTTCCCAGACAGAGCTTCTGGGGATCCCATGTACACTCAGCACCCGACACTCGCAGTGGCACTGGCCTCTGGGCTGGGAAAAGAAACACAATTCACTCGACTTATGATTTAATTAAATTTCTGAACCATGGCAGCAGATCTATACTTCATAAATTAAACCCTCATTTCCTAGAGGCAAAAAGTTATGAATTGGTGTTCTGTTCCTGGAAATTCATTTTATTTCGTAAAAACCTAAAAGTTGATCATGAAAATAAAACAAGATATACAACACGCACACATATACACACAGAGATTTATTAAGTAGAAAAAAACAAGTAATATGAAAACCAAATGTTATAAATGTTAAATTGGGTGGACTTTTCTGCAAGGGCTGGATGACTAGAGTGTCTTAAAACATGAGTTAAATGAGATTTAGATTGAAAATGCCTTCCACATTTTTGAGTAAAATTTCTAAGGAACAAAAATAGGCAATTTTCATTGTACCAAGGACTTTTGAAGTAAGGTGAAAATCGGGGGTACTGTTCTAAAAAATGTTCATGGCATGAAGGCACCTGAATCTCTGGGTAGTGTACTACTGCTTTGATCATTTCTTCTGCTCTGTTAAAAGTTGCCAAATGACTGTAAGTATGAGTTTGGTCATTACAGTGGGGGTCTTATGATGAGAAAGACTGTCATGATGGAGGGGATAGTTCCTGTGGTGGAAAGTCAGGGATTTGCCTGACTCTTAGCTCCATGGACACACTCACAAAGCCTCTATGGGCAGCCCCTCTGTCTCCATGCCCTACAGGGCCTCCACCTGGCCACCTCGTTGGGGGGGTGGGCATGGCACGGGGAAGGCTCTCAGGCAATAGGGCTAGAGGTGAGATAGGAATATACACAGGGTTGACGGCAGAATAATGAAAGGAAATTGAAGGAGTAATTCCCAACCAATGGCTATCTCATTTTTTATGGATTACCTGTGATGGTTAATTTTACGTGTCAACTCGACTGGGTCATGGGATGCCCAGATATTTAGCCAAACATTATTCTTGGTGTTTCTCTGAGGGTATTTTAGGATGAACTTCACTAAATTGATAGACTGAGTAAAGCAGATTGCCCTCTGATATGGTTTGGCTGTGTCCCCACCCAAAATCTCATCTTGAATTGTAATCCCCATAATCCCCATATGTCAAGGGACAGACTAGGTGGAGATAATGGAATAATGGGGGCGGTTTCCCCCATGCTGTTCTCATGATAGTGAGTTCTCACGAGATCTGATGGTTTTATAAGTGTTTGGTAGTTCCTCCTGCATTCATTCTCCTTCCTGCCGCCTTGTGAAGAAGGTGCCTTGCTTCCCCTTCACCTTCCACCATGATTATAAATTTCCTGAGGCCTCCTCAGCCATGCTGAGCTGTGCATCAATTAAGCCTCTTTCCTCTATAAATTACACAGTCTTGGGCAGTTCTTCATAGCAGTGTGAACATGGACTAATACACACTCCCTAATATGGGTGGGCCTCATTCAATCAGTTGACGGCCTGAGTAGGCTCAAAATCCTGACCCTCTCTTGGGTAAAAGGGAACTCCTCCTGCCTGACTGCCTTTGAGTTGGGACATTGGTTTTTTCCCTGCCTTCAAACTTGAACAAAAGTATCAACTTTTCCTGGGTCTCAAGCCTGCTGGCCTTTAGTCTCGGACTGGAATGACACCATCAGCTCTCCTGGGTCTCCAGCTTGCTGACTGCAGATCTTGGAATTTATTAGGATCAATAATTGCATAAGCCAGTTCCTTATACTAAATCTTTTTCTACATATGTATACAGCCTATTAGTTCTGTGTCTCTGGAGAACCCTAATACACTGCTTTAAGTAATCAGAACTGAAAAATAATCATTTTAAAGAAGTGATGGCTGCCCTTCTCATAGGAATTAACTGGCGATCTTGCTAAATGCAGGTCCTGATTCGGCAGGTCCGAGGTGCGGCCTGAGAATCTGCATTTCTAACCAGCTTCAAGGTGATGTCAATGGTGCTGGCCAGTGGACCAGCCCTTGAGTAACAAGGGCTTACAGATCAGTAGTCATGGACAAGTTTACTCTACTTTGTGTAGCCTCTGTCCCAGATAATGCTTCCTCTGGACTCCTATCTAGAAACACTTAATCTTGAGTCATCAGTACTTTTAATCTTGGTAATTTTATATTTGGTTGTATTAATTCATCAATTCAAATTTTAAGACTTCTATGAATCAAAATAGAATACAGTGTTTAAAAAGAGCTCTACTAAAATCTCAGGCTTGTGCAAGACGCCCTGTTTCCAGACTTTTCTTCAATTCCCCAATCCCTAGAAATGTCACTCTGACCATTTTCATTTTTTGCTCTTTGACTATACGGTTTTTTGTGACTGATAACAATCTGGGCATCAATTTGCCTCTTCTCTCATTGTTAATAAAAAAGTAATCCATGCTAGTGATTTTGTGTCATTTCTAATGTACGGGAAATTAGAAATAAATGAATGAGGTGCACAGTGTAGTTCAGATAAAATTCTCAGGTTGAAAAAACATGCTTATGGAAAATAAATGAATAAATATGATTTGGGCTGGATAGGGTGGTGGAAGATCAATCACGAGCTCACAGCTGGCTGAGATGGGACCCCAGAGTTAACAAGCCAGACGTGAGATGCTCGCTGCTCTGATTTCTCATCACAGAAACCTAAGGGAACAGCCACAGGCAGGAACTGACCTGCCCCTTCCCCAGTCCTGGATACACTCCCACCCCTGATATTTGTAGGGATTAGGGAAAGGATACAAATGGAGGTCCTTGAACCATTTGTCTAAATATTTGAAGTTATAAATCAAGGTAAAAAAGGTAAATAAAATGTTTTATCTTGTGTCATGACACATATATCTCTATGATCACCTATGAGACCAGGTTCAATGTCAGAATTCTTGAATTCCTTGGATTTCTGGGCCAGAACTTGGTGGTACCAAGATAGTGACCCATTGCCTGTGGCTCATGCCTACTCACTTTCTCTTCTACTTCCACCCCTAGCTACATTCTGTACCAAGAGGGACCTTTTTCCCATGGGTCTGGCTACCCCGCCCTGTGGTCCAAAGCCCTTCAAGCAGCATCCCTTGGCTACTCCTCTAGTTTAGGGGAGTGTACACCTCGGGTATGGTCTGCCCCTTGGGAGGATGGCCCCAGACATGAGGCCCCCAAAACCCACTCCATCTAGAAACACTTAATCTTAGGTCATCAGTACTTTTAGTCTTAGTAATTTTATATTTGGTCATACTAATGAGTCAATTCAATATTTTGATACTTTTATGAATCAAAATAGAATAAGGCTTTTAAGAAAGGGCTCTACTAAAATTCTCAGGCTTCTGCAAGATGCCCTTTCTCCAGACCTTTTCACCATTCTTTTATACCCAGAAGTCTCATTCTGTTCATCTTCATTCTTTGCTCTTTGACCTGCTCCACCACGGGATCAGGTGGAGCAACAAGGAAGGGAATGTCTATATTATCTGTATTAGTTTGTTCTTGCACTGCTATAAAGAAATACCTGAGACTGGGTAATTTATAAAGACAAGAGTGTGAATTGGCTCACAGTTCTGCAGGCTGTACAGGAAGCATAGCAGCTTCTGCTTCTGGGGAGGCCTCAGGAAGCTTCCGATCATGGTGGAAGGCAAAGGGGAAGCAGACACGTCTTACATGGCCAGAGCCTGAGAAAAAGGGTGGGGGGAGGTGCTACACACTTTTAAACAACAAGATCTTGTGAGAACTCACTCACTGTGCAGTACTAGCGGGGAATGGTGCTAAACCATTCATGAGAACTCTGTCCCCGTGATCCAATCACCTGTAACCAGTCCCCATATTCAACACTGGGGATTACAATTCAACATGAGATTTGGTGGGGACACAAATTCAAACCGTATCATCATTAGAATGAGTCACGATGAAGTAAGACACCTCCAAGGATCTGGGCTGCAACATCAATTCTCCTGGGACATCCCACAGACCTTGCTCTGTGTGGTAGGATCTGCGCTGTGAGCTATGTCTGGTCTGTTGGGCAAAATCCATACATGGCTTTTTGATTTACTGTGCTAACATTGGCAATTAGCTCCTCAGAGAAATCACTGCCAAATTTCTGTGTCATGGATAACAGTGCGAAGGGGGCAGGAGCCTTCCCTGTAATTTGATGCATTTTCTGTTGGAGGGAAGCACAACCGAGTGCAGGCTTCTGCAGTGGCTGATGGCTTAATTGCCACGTGCATCTTGTGGGGAGTACTTACTTGGTGTCCCTATGCTTGACTCCCTGGCACTGGGAAGCAGCTGACACCTGGAGGGAGGGTAGGAAGCCAAAGGGCTGGTGGCTGACACCCAACAGTGAAGGAGCTGGAATCACCGTTCTCTCACTCCCATTTAAATCACTTCATTGTTAAGGGCCATGCAGTCTGATGACATTTTAGTCACCAGAAACTGTTCCTTAATTATTCAGATACTGTATGCCCAGTATGCAGTGCATTGCCTGGCATAGATCAGGGTCTCAGCAGTGTCTACCAAGGTCACCCTAGCTCTGGGCTGGCTCTTTGTGAATGGCTGCATGACATTCCTAGTCCACTTTCTCCTCTCCTTCTCCTCACACTTCCCTCTTTGGTGGATTGTTTAATTGGTCAGCAATTACTCCTTCTGCCCTTCCCATCTATGGTGGAGTGAACTTCCCTTTCCCCCTTATTTTGGGCTTGGGCTTGTGATTTACTTTGGCCAATGGCACATGAACAGAAAAGATGCAAGCAGAGGTTTTAAGTGTGCCTGGTGTCTTGCTTGGCCTCCTCGGCCCTCTCCTCTGTCATGAGAAGAACACGTCTCAGATAGCTGCTGGCTCCAGAAGAAGGAGACTTACGGAGCAGGCTTGAATCCCACACATAGCCTGGAGGTAAGCCCAGCTGAACCCCGCCACACTCTGTCAAATCCAACAGAGTTAGCTGGGTGCAGTGGGTCACGCCTGTAATACCAACACTTTGGAAAGCCAAGGCAGACAGATTGCTTGAGCTCAGGAGTTTAAGACCAACTTGGGCAACATAGTGAGACCTCATCTCTGTTACAAAAAAAAAAAAAAAAAAAAAAAATCACACAATTAGCTAGGTGGGGGCGGTGCATGCCTGTGATTCCAGGCACTCAGGAAGCTGAGGTGGGAGGGTTGCTTGAGCCCAGGAGGTTGAGGCTGAACCACTGCTCTCCAGCCTGGGTGATAGAGTGAGACATTGTCTCAAAATAAAAAAATAAAACCAACACACAGAGTTATAGTCAACCTTCTGATCTGTGAGAGAGAATTAAATATGTATTGCTATAAGCTGCTGAGATTTTAGAGTTGTTTGTTACACAGCATTATTAAAGTAATAAACTGGTTAACACACTCTCCCATGCTGGACACTAATACCTGGTTCAGAGCAGTAGCAGAGATGTCTTTGATAATCGCGAAGACCAGAAAGAGAGAAGAACTGAGAAGATCCCATTATATCTCATACATTTTCCAGCATTACCATATTCCTTTTGTTTTATATTAATATCCCATTAGTGAACACATCTCATTCTATCCCCACAAGTGGTTTTACTCCATCCTCTTCTATTAGGCCTCTTTTTTTTATTATTATTATACTTTAAGTTTTAGGGTACATGTGCACATTGTGCAGGTTAGTTACATATGTATACATGTGCCATGCTGGTGCACTGCACCCACTAACTCGTCATCTAGCATTAGGTATATCTCCCAATGCTATCCCTCCCCCCTCCCCCCACCCCACAACAGTCCCCAGAGTGTGATATTCCCCTTCCTGTGTCCATGTGATCTCATTGTTCAATTCCCACCTGTGAGTGAGAATATGCAGTGTTTGGTTTTTTATTCTTGCGATAGTTTACTGAGAATGATGTTTTCCAATTTCATCCATGTCCCTACAAAGGACATGAACTCATCATTTTTTATGGCTGCATAGTATTCCATGGTGTATATGTGCCACATTTTCTTAATCCAGTCTATTATTGTTGGACATTTGGGTTGGTTCCAAGTCTTTGCTATTGTGAATAATGCCGCAATAAACATACGTGTGCATGTGTCTTTATAGCAGCATGATTTATAGTCCTTTGGGTATATACCCAGTAATGGGATGGCTGGGTCAAATGGTATTTCCAGTTCTAGATCCCTGAGGAATCGCCACACTGACTTCCACAAGGGTTGAACTAGTTTACAGTCCCACCAACAGTGTAAAAGTATTCCTATTTCTCCACATCCTCTCCCGCACCTGTTGTTTCCTGACTTTTTAATGATTGCCATTCTAACTGGTGTGAGATGGTATCTCATTGTGGTTTTGATTTGCATTTCTCTGATGGCCAGTGATGATGAGCATTTTTTCATGTGTTTTCTGGCTGCATAAATGTCTTCTTTTGAGAAGTGTCTGTTCATGTCCTTCGCCCACTTTTTGATGGGGTTGTTTGTTTTTTTCTTGTAAATTTGTTCGAGTTCATTGTAGATCTGGATATTAGCCCTTTGTCAGATGAGTAGGTTGTGAAAATTTTCTCCCATGTTGTAGGTTGCCTGTTCACTCTGATGGTAGTTTCTTTTGCTGTGCAGAAGCTCTTTAGTTTAATTAGATCCCATTTGTCAATTTTGTCTTTTGTTGCCATTGCTTTTGGTGTTTTAGACATGAAGTCCTTGCCCGTGCCTATGTCCTGAATGGTAATGCCTAGGTTTTCTTCTAGGGTTTTTATGGTTTTAGGTCTAACATTTAAGTCTTTAATCCATCTTGAATTGATTTTTGTATAAGGTGTAAGGAAGGGATCCAGTTTCAGCTTTCTCCATATGGCTAGCCAGTTTTCCCAGCACCATTTATTAAATAGGGAATCCTTTCCCCATTGCTTGTTTTTCTCAGGTTTGTCAAAGATCAGATAGTTGTAGATAAGCGGCGTTATTTCTGAGGGCTCTGTTCTGTTCCATTGATCTATATCTCTGTTTTGGTACCAGTACCATGCTGTTTTGGTTACTGTAGCCTTGTAGTATAGTTTGAAGTCAGGTAGTGTGATGCCTCCAGCTTTGTTCTTTTGGCTTAGGATTGACTTGGCGATGCGGGCTCTTTTTTGGTTCCATGTGAACTTTAAAGTAGTTTTTTCCAATTCTGTGAAGAAAGTCATTGGTAGCTTGATGGGGATGGCATTGAATCTGTAAATTACCTTAGGCAGTATGGCCATTTTCACGATATTGATTCTTCCTACCCATGAGCATGGAATGTTCTTCCATTTGTTTGTATCCTCTTTTATTTCCTTGAGCAGTGGTTTGTAGTTCTCCTTGAAGAGGTCCTTCACATCCCTTGTAAGTTGGATTCCTAGGTATTTTATTCTCTTTGAAGCAATTGTGAATGGGAGTTCACTCATGATTTGGCTCTCTGTTTGTCTGTTGCTGGTGTATAAGAATGCTTGTGATTTTTGTACATTTATTTTGTATCCTGAGACTTTGCTGAAGTTGCTTATCAGCTTAAGGAAATTTTGGGCTGAGACAATGGGGTTTTCTAGATATACAATCATGTCATCTGCAAACAGGGACAATTTGACTTCCTCTTTTCCTAATTGAATACCCGAAAAGGTGACTTTGAATTCCAGCTTATATAGCATCTTCAACAAGGAATAGTCAATTTTTAGGGAAGAGACAAGACAAAAGAAAGACTTTAAGTCTCTAGGAGCTGCAAATTGTAGAAAGGCAAACAAATAGCAGATAAAGGCCAGTTGGTAAAGCTTGTTAGTGTAGATTCCTATGGTACCATCTCCAGACCAGTAAGTGTCTAAAGTTGTCTTCAGCGGTTAACCTCGTTTTCCCTGGTAAAGAGGGGGTGAGTGGTGAAGTATCTTCTGTCTTTGTAAATCTATATCTGGCTTTAGGAAACTAGAGGAAGGCCGGAGAGCTTTCGTTTATCTGCTTCTTCTTTTTTTTTTTTTGAGATGGAGTCTCGCTCTGTCACCCAGGCTGGAGTGCAGTGGCGCGATCTCGGCTCACTACAACCTCCGCCTCCTGGGCTCAGATGATTCTCCTGCCTCAGCCTACTGAGTAGCTGGGAGTACAGGTGTGTGCCACCATGCCTGGCTAATTTCTGTGTGTGTTTTTAGTAGAGATGGGGTTTCACCATGTCGGTTAGGCTGGTCTCAAACTCCTGACATCAGGTGATCTGCTCGTCTTGGCTTCCCAAAGTGCTGGGATTACAGGCATGAGCCACAGTGCCTGGCCTTATCTGCTTCTTCTTAATTGCCTGCAGCTCAACAATTCTTATGCAAAATAGGCACATTTTAGAGTGACATATTCTAGTTTTCCACAGGGGGAGGAATAGACCTAATGGACCAAGCCAGAATTCCGTTTAGCAGACAAAAGCAGGGAGAAGCTGGAACATTCTGTCATTAATATTGAAATCTGCCAAAATTATAACATCCAAAACATAGTAGGAAGCTCAAAAAGGATCTGTTGAATGAATAAATGATCTAGTGAATCAGGGAATGGCTCTGGTTCCAACCCCTCATTTCTGGATGAGGCCCAGAGAAGTGAAGGGACTCATCCAAAGTCTCCCCGGGTTAGTGGCCAAGTTAGAACAGCAGCCCTGTCTCCTGATACAGGATCTTTCCACCATGGTTCACTCTGAGCTGTTAAGAACTGTTTCCCATAGATGCAGTGTGAACACACAATTTATTATTCAGTCCTGGGTGCTTTTAAGAGAGAAAGAGAATGCTATTAATAATTGTGTCAGATACAGACCAATGCAATAGAATAGAGAATCCAGAAATAAAGCCAAAATACGTACAGCCAACCAGTCTTCAACAAAGCATGCAAAAACACAAATTGAGAGGAATAGACATACTATTTATTTTTATTTTATTTTATTTTTTATTTTTTCTGGGATGGAGTTTCACTCTTGTTGCCCAGGCTGGAGTGCAATGGGGTGATCTTGGCTCACCGCAAACTCTGCCTCCTGGGTTCAAGTGATTCTCCTGCCTCAGCCTCCCGACTAGCTGGGATTACAGGCATGTACCACCATGCCCAGCTAATTTTGTATTTTTAGTAGAGATGGGGTTTCTCCATGTTGGTCAGGCTGGTCTCGAACTCCTGACCTCAGGTGACCCCCCGCCTTGGCCTCCCAAAGTGCTGGGATTACAGGCATGAGACACCGCGCCCAGCCTGGACATGCTATTTAGTAAATGGTGTGGAAAAATTGGCAAGCCACATGTAGAAGAATAAAACTGAGTCCTTATCTGTCACCTTATACAAAAATCAACTCAAGATGGATCAAAGACTTAAATACAAGACCTGACACTAAAAATTCTAGAAGAGAACATTGGGAAAACTTTTCCAGACATCAACCTAGGCAAAGAATTCATGACTAAGACCCCAAAAGCAAATGCAACAAGAAGAAAAATAAACAGATGGGACCTGATTAAACTAAAAAGTATCTGCACAGCAAAAGAAATAATCAGCAGAGTAAACAGACAACCCATAGAATGGGAGAAAATATTGACAAACTATGCATCTGACAAAGGACTAGTATCCAGAATCTACAAGGAACTCAAATCAGCAAGAAAAAAAAAAATCCCATTAAAAAATAGACAAAGGCCATGAATAGACATTTCTCAAAAGAAGATACACAGATGGTCAACCAACATGAAAAAATGCTCAGCATCACTAATCATCAAAGAAATGCAAATTAAACCCACAATGAGATATCAACTTACTCCTGCAAGAATGGCCATTATTAAAAAGTCAAAAAACAATAGATGTTAGAGTGGCTGTGAGGAAAAAGGAATGCTTATACACTGCTAGCAGGAATGTAAATTAGTACAACCTCTATGGAAAACAGTGTAGAAATTCCTCAAAGAGCTAAAAAGTAGATCTACCGTTAGATCCAGTGACACCACTACTGGATATGTACCCAAAGGAAAAGAAGTTATTATAGAGGAAGACACTGGTACATGTACTTTTGTAGCAGTACAATTCACAATTGCAAAGCTGTGGAACCAACCTAAGCCCCCATCAATTAATGAATGGATAAAGAAAATGTGGCATATATACACCCTGGAATACTACTCAGTCATCAAAAAGGAATGAAATATGTCTTTTGCAGCAACTTGAATGGAGCTGGATACCATTATTCTAAGTAAAGTAACACAGGAGTGGAAAACCAAAAAACATATGTTCTCACTTATAACTGGGAGCTAAGCTACGAGTACATAAAGGCATACAGAGTGATATAATGGACTTTAGAGACTCAGAAGCTGGAGGGTGGAAGGAGGGACTAGGGATTAAAAAAACAACCTACACATTAGGTACAATGTACACTATTTGGGTGATGGGGGCACTAAAATCTCAGAATTCACCACTACGTAATTCATTCATGTAACAAAATAACCATTTGTACCCCAAAAGCTATTGAAATAAAAAATTTTTTAAAAATTGTACCAGAGCAACAGGTGAAAACTAGCACTGCTGTGGGCAAATTGGAATGTGTGATCACCCTATTTGTAAGTCTTGGCTTATTGGACAGTGTTATGGGCTGAATTGTGACTCCCCCAAATCCTTATGTATGTTGAAACACCAATCTCAGTAACTCAGAATATGACTGTATTTAGAGGCAGGACCTTCAAAGAGGTAATTAAGTTAAAACAAGGGTGTTAGAGCTGACCCTAATCAAACCTGACTGACATCTTTATAAGATGAGGACATTCAGGACAGGGTGTGGTGGCTCATACCTGTAATCCCAGCACTTTGGGAGGCCAAGGTGGGTGAATTGCTTGAGCTCAGCCTGGGCAAAATGGCAAAACCCCATCTCTATAAAAAATACAAAAATTAGCTGAGCATGCTGGCCCATACTGTGGTCCCAGCTACTCAGGAGGCTGAAGTGGGAGGATTGCTTGTGTGTGGGAGGTCAAAGCTGCAAGGGAGCCATGATCACACCTCTGCACTACAGCTTGGGTGACACAGCTAGACCCTGTTTCAAAAAATAAGTAAACAAATAAAAGAAGAGGGCATTTAGACACACAGAGAGACATCAGAAACATACATAAAAGGACGACCATATGAAGACACAGCAAGAAGGCAGCCATCTGCAAGCCAAGGAGGGAGACCCCAGAGAAACCAAACCTGCTGACACCTTGATCATGGACTTCCAGCCTCCAGAACTGTGAGGAAACAGATTTCTGTTGTTTAAGCCACCCAGTCTTTGGCATTTTGTCGTGGCAGCCGAGCAAACTAATACAGACGGCAAATGACAGTTTGAAAACAGAGGTCCTGTCTTAACTTCTTTCATGCTCTCCAGAACATGGAAGAACGGTTGCTGAGTACCACACTGCATCATGCTGAGAAGAATCCTGCACACAGGATGGGTAGATCTGGATTGTGTCAACCTAACCTAGCTGGAAGTAGGTTTTCCAGAATTACCTTCCTTGCACATGTGTAAGTGAGCATGGCCACAGGAGATGTGCTGAGAGATTTGGAAGATGGAAGTGAAATGGCAGCCATATTCCCAGTACTCTTAGGGGATCAGTGTGCTGTTGCTGCTTGTGCATGGCATCACTCACCTGCTGGCTTACCTGTCCATAAGCTCAGCCTCCTGGTTGTGGCTGCTGCAGCTCCTGCTGGGTCACCCCTCAGCATCTCTGACTCCCAGACCAGCTGCATGTGCAGCTGTTTGGCAATGGACCTCAGTTTCTCAGGTTGGGCCCCTCATCATGGAAGGTGGAGGTTTAGGGCAGTGGGAGAGCAAGGGGTCAGTAGGGCTCTGTTCTTTCTAGTGGCTGTAAAAGATAATCCATTTTCTCACATTTTCCAGCCTCTGGATGCTGCCTGCATTCCTTGGCTCTTCACTCCATTTTCAAAGTGTGTTACTCCAGTCTCTGATTCTGTCATCACATCTCCTCTGACTCTCTTGCCTCCCCCTTTTCCTTGGTCCTATAAAGTTCCCACAAGGACCCTTGTGATTACATGGGACCTACCCAGATAACCCAAGATAATCTCCCCATCTCCAGATCCTTAATTTAATGACATTTGCAAAGTCCCTTTTGCCAAGTAAGATAACATACTCACAGGTTCCAGGGACTGGGGCATGGACCACTTGCGGGGGTAAGTATTCTGCTTACCATGATAATTTAAACTCTGGTCTTCTTGACTCCGAAAGCCATGCTTATCCAAGGACATACACCCTGCTCCTGCAGCCTACATTTAAAGCATGGGACACATGTACACAGAAAGCATTCCTTAGGTACAACTGACATACCAAGCCTCCTTTGAGCTATGCATGCAAACTAGTGATCATAGCGACAGTGATAGGTCAGACTTTGGTGTACCAGCCCTAAGGCCTCTGCATGTCCTTAAGAGTTGAGGGGTTTTCTCTCTGGAGAAGGTGTCTATATCAGCAAGGGTCTTGATATCCCACTCAAAAAGATGATTACAACCACTTTTCTGAAGCTACCTAAGAAAGGAAATGCTTTCACAGTACACTGAGAACTTTGCCATAAACAATATTTTTCAAATCATAATAACATAAATATTGACAAATAATTTAAAAGATGGTATTAATATAACTACCTTGAGAAGAAGGGATTGGGGGATATATAAAGTTAACTCCTCACCTGGCATAACAGGGAGCTAATAGAGTTTAATGTGGATAAATCATAAAATTATGACTCAATTATGTTATTTTTTAAATGCGGGAAACAACCAGAAGAAATGATGAAAAGAGTTAAAAGTAAATGTTTCTGGGGAGCAGAACTTGGAGGCAGGAGACTGTGGTTTTTTATTATAAGCCTTTCGGGATATTTTAATTTAAAGCCAGACCTTAAGAAAAGTAAGATCCAGATCTATTCTTGGTATAGAATTGTGGAAATATGATGACTGGAAATTGGAAAGATCATTTGAGAGCTTCCTTCCCATCATTTGCAACTTGTTTGCAAAAGATGGGAAAGGAAAAAAAGAAGACAAATCCCAACCTTTTATTGTAATATGTAGAGACTAAAATCGTATGTAGATGAAAATCCAAATTTTATTTCCCCTGCAATCCAGACTCAGCACAAATAACCAATTAAACCCACCTTCAAAGGCAGACAAAAATCATATCACTCTTTTATGCTTCTACCAGCATTTGAACCACCTCCATATAGACATAATTAGTTAGAAAAAGTCAGGTTAATATTTTTGTCAGTGTCTCTGTGTGTGTGTATTCAATAAGTTTGCAAATATATCTTTGGCTCCTGTTAAGGAGACCCAAACTATAATCCTGCTAAATGTCCAAGTCTCCTGTTTATGACTATGTAAAATCGGAGGCTACAGATGCCCTAAATACCCTCCTATGCCAAAATATCTCCACCATCACCCCTGCCTAGGCTGTCAGTTCCCAAACTGGAATTTCCCGCCTCACTCATTTCTCTGGGTTAAAGTCCAGCCTCCAGGAAGGCCCAAGTAAAATACCAGATTAATCTGAAAAGGACCAACTTGTTAATAACTCACTAACCCCTTGACATGCATTCATTCATCTCTTACAGAGAGTTGGGTCCTAAAGAATGGGACAGTAGAAAGATGGGTTTTCCTAGAGAGGGTCTGAAGTATGGGAAAGAGTAGGGGTAGGGGTCATGGAATCATCTTGGATGAGGATGGAAAGGCAGCATGGGGCTCTGGGAGATGGTTTGAGTGGCAAAGAGAAAGGAAAGTGTTTTCCTTGGTCAGCAATCCATGGTGGCACTGCCCAACACAACACAGACTGCACCCTGGAGATGGGCAGCATGGCACTGGGGGTTGCAAATGGATGTCAGTCTTGCCTGTGTTACTGGGGAAATGAAGAGTCAAATGAACTAAAGCAGTGGTCCCCAATCTTTTTGGCACCAGGGACTGATTTTGTGGAAGACAGTTTTTCCATGGACTGGGATGGGGGCAGGGATGGGGGTAGGAGGGATGGTTTGGGGATGAAATTGTTCCACCTCCGATCATCAGGCATTAGTTAGGTTATCATAAGGAGCGTGCAACCTAGATCCCTTGCATGCTCAGTTCACCATAGGGTTTGTGCTTCTGTGAGAATCTAATGCTGCTGCTGATCTGACAGGAGGAGGAGCTCAGGTGGTAATGCTTGCTCGCCCACCACTCACATCCTGCTGTGTGGCCCAGTTCCTAACAGGCTACAGACCAGTACTGGTCCACAGCATGGGGGTTGGGGACCCCTGAACTAAAGGACTGGAAACCACTTTGATAGGTACAACGTAGGTAAAATAGAAGCCTCCATGACCCACTGTGGTTTCCTGAAATGTTGGTTTTTCATTCAAATGCTTTGGCAGCCACAGAGTGTGGAGTGTTAATAGTTTATCTATAACTGGCTATCAGAAGACAAATGGAGTAGGACACAGGGCTGAGATGAAAGGTAAAGAGACATTAACAGGAGCTCTCCCCTACAACTTCCAGTGAAACACACCTATGGAGAAAAATGTTGGGATGTATCTATATCACCATCTATTTAGAAGCTACAGAAAGCTCTTATGGACAAAGGCCTGCTCATCCTTAAAGACTTCCCTTGAAAAGTCTTTTCAGATGTTCCTAGATAAAGTATCCTCCCATAGCCCCTTAGTCATATTTCAGAACAGCATTTGTCACTTGGTCTTGTAATGATGAGTTAATACACTTGTTTATACCATCCAACTGTGAACTCCTAGACTGAGGAATATCTTTGGACTGAGGACATATCCCCACATGGGAGCACTGGGGAGAATACGTAGGCATTTCCCATTGAGCACTTTTTGAAATAAGTAAATAAAAGGGTCACAGAAAATTGAAGCCCTTGTGATCTTTTAATTTCCTCAAAAGCATAACTTAATAAATGTGCAAAATGCACAAACTTGCTTGCATGATCAACCCTTGGCCTCCCTCCTCAAGTGTCAAGGGAACAAAAAGATAAGAGGTATCATATTTAAGAAAGATAATGCCATCTTCTATCCATCCAAGGGAGGTTCAGTAACTTCTATGGCCATTAAATGCTGGAAGATTGATGTGGGCATGCTCTGCTTGGCTCCTACCTCTTCTTCTGGAAGCTGGCTGCATCTGGGAGTACACATTCTCTGCCTCTCCTCCAGGGATGAGCTCCTGGTTAGCACTGCCTGAGAGAGGGGATCAAGTCTGTCCAATTCTGAGGTCCTATTAAGCAGGCCCATGTAGTTCTTGCACTAAACTACACGCTCCATCTTAGTAATATTTGGTAATATTTTGGTCTCCTCCTTCTGTTCCTTTTTCTTATTAAGCAACAGTGAGATATGATGGTTTTTAAATTAATTGGATGATATATTTAAAAGCTATAAAATGCTAATATTTGACCTGTTGTTTGACCTGGTTGTTCTATGGAGCTTTATCAAGGGAAAAGAGAGCCCAAAGAGATTTCTTGGCTCCAGTAGAGAATCTAAGATTATCAGGGATTTATAAAGATGTAGTAGGCTAGGTATGGTGGCTCAAACCTGTAATCCCAGCACTTTGGGAGGCCGAGGTGGGTGGATCACCTGAGGTCAGGAGTTCAAGACCAGCCTGGCCAACAGGGTGAAACCCTGTCTCTACTAAAAATACAAAAATTAGCTGGGCGTGGTGGCAGGTGCCTGTAATTCCAGCTACTCAGGAGACTGAGGCAGGAAAATCGCTTGAACCTGGGAGGTGGAGGTTGCAGTGAGCCAAGATCATGCCACTGCACTCCAGCCTAGGTGACAGAGGGAGACTCTGTCTCAAAAACAAACAAACAAACAAACAAAAAGATGGAGTAAGTAAACCATGGTTCAATCACCTGTGACCTTAGAAGGCCTTTTCACGGATAGTTATGAACCATGGTGACTACCCATGATCCCTTCATGATGACGAGCATTGGGATGACCGTGGTAATTTGATGGATAGCTGCCCTTCTTTTATTTAGAGGTCACTATAGGTCAGGCCACATGCTGAGTGTTTTACATGCAATATCCCATTTATTCTAACAAGCCTGTGAAATAAGTATTTATCCTATGTTACAAATGAGCAATCCAAAGAAATCAGCTCAAATGACAGAAATCAGATTATTTGACAAAGATCACACAGTTGGTAATGGCTCAGAAGGAACTTGAACCTAGGTCTCCTAGCTTCAAATCTCCTCTCAGAGTTGTGACTTTAGGAGGCCTTCACTAGAATCAAGGCACGCACTACAGTCCACAGTCTCTGTGCAGGGTGACTAATGCGAATGGACCTAAGACCATGTCTGTCTCCATACTGTCTGTGGGAAGTGGCAAAGATGCATTTGTGAGTAGTGAATGAATGGAGCTTTTCTTTTGGTTTTCAGCTCACTCCATATCCCCTAAAACCGTAACACTCATGGATACCATAGTCTGTAAAATCAAACGAAAATTACTTACAAGCACTGGTAAAATCTAAGCAGTGGAGTGCCAGTAAATATTTAACAATTGGTTCTCTGAAACAAAAAAAAAAAGCCATAATATGTAGCACCTGCCAATTTTCATGCTGTAAATACTTCCAGCATGGCCAGTTTCAAGCTACCAACCTGACAACTCTGAACATGGAGTTGAGAAGAGACGTATTGAACTGGTTCTTTCTAGCTGGTAGGAGCCTGCTCCAGCACACCACTGAGTCTAAGCAACCCTGTAAAGTCAAATTTGGGGGAAGGAGATGAGAACTAAGCCTCTTCTTATTAATCTGAACTGGAAAATGTGTCTTACATTCATTTGTGTTTTTCTTTATTGTGTACATTTATTTCATTTCACATGTGCCATCACAGAGCTAAAGTACAGTTCCACAAAAGCTGTGCTGGGAGGATGCAAAAGTCATCAAGAACATGGTCCCTACCTTATACATACTCAGCCCCCTCTAGAGTCACATACCTGAACTCACTAAACTTCATAGCAACCCCGTAAGGTGAGAGAGACAGAATAGTGAGTATTAGGCCAGGCACAGTGGCTCATGCCTGTAATCTCGGCACTTTGGGGGGCTGAGGTGGGCAGATCACCTGAGGTCAGGAGTTTGAGACCTGCCTGGCTAACATGGTGAAATCCCATCTCTACTAAAAAATACAAAAATTAGCTGGGCATGGTGGCAGGTGAGTGTACTCCCAGCTACTCAGGAGGCTGAGGCAGGAGAAGAGCTTGAGCCTCGGAGGTGAAGGTTGCAGTGAGCAGAGATCCCACCACTGCACTCTAGCCTGGGTGACAGAGTAAGATCCTGTCTCAAAAAAAAAAAAAAAAAGAATAGTGAATGTTTTAGAGATGAGGATACCAGGATAAGGGAGACTATGTCTTGAACCTGCCTCTTTCTCCCAGTCAGGGACTGTCATTTGCCACTCATCACTCCTCATTGGGGAATAATTGTAGGGTAAGGTCAATGCGGGTTCCTAAATTCGAGTGTCTCAGGGTTCTGTTTAATACTTGCTCTTCTCTTTATATAGCAGTTTAATAGCAGGTTGTAGTCTTTGAAATTCCTTTGGCCTCCATACCCAAAGAATGATTTCCCTTTTTCTATAGATCAAGTTCTGTCTCCTTTCAATAGTATCTTTTCAGTAGAAAGAATGCAATAGTTCCACAGTTGCTACTCTACTTGGTAAATGCGGTGGAGGCCGAACAAAAACTGGGTTGGGGAAAAAAAAAGTTAGGTTGAGAACCACCAAAGTTGATTCTTTTCTCCCGTGAGATTTACTGAAAATTCAGGTGAATTACCTTTGTGTGACTAAAAGGGACTTAGGGAAAAATAGCTGAGTTTCCATTAACCAAATTCCCTGGAACCAAAGGAAAATTGTGCACTTTGTTGCACATTAAAAATAGGAACTGCAAGTATTAAAAGAGCAAAGTATCACATTTAATAATCACGAGGTGAGGCTTAATGATAAACTACTATATCTACATATGCACATCATATACTTGCAAAACATAACAGACTATTAGAGCAAAACTTAAGGAACTATGAATGCTAATTAGCTAGTTTATCTAAAATGTCTACCTGTTCTTAATTACCTTTTTTTTTTTTTTTCCTAAGAAGTAAGCTTGAATCTGGCCTTACTTTTTTTTTTTTTTTTTTTTTTGTGTGTGTGAGACAGAGTCTGGCTCTGTCACCCAGGCTGGAGTGCAATGGTACGATCTCAACTCACTGCACCCTCTGCCTCCCGGGTTCAAGTGATTCTCCTGCCTAAGCCTCCCAAGTAGCTGGGATTACAGGCATGCACCACCATGCCTGGCTAATTTTTGTATTTTTAGTAGAGGCATGGTTTCACCATGTTGGCCAGGCTGGTCTCGAACTCCTGACCTCAGGTGATTGGCCCGCCTCGGCCTCCCAAAGTGCTAGAATTGCAGGTGTGAGCCACCGCGCCCAGCCTCTTAATTACTTCTTAATCAACCTGGCTTTCTCTGAGTTCTCAGAGGAATGGGACATTCAAATTTACCTTAAACTCTTTGAAACAAAAACCATGAGAACATAAACCCAATACAAATGCTTTCAAGCTACAGAATATCAAAAGCCATTTTTATTGAATTCTATTTAGTGATCTTCTCCTCAGTTTTTTTCTTTTTCAAAGCCTGTTTCCAACATAATTAGAGAGAAGACATGATGCTAAGATTTCTAGTTTGTTCTCAAAAATGCCCCTTCTTACTTTCTTGATGCTTTTTTGCATGGCAGAGAGAAAAGGGCCATGTTGTTGTAGGGTCCCTATGATATGAGTAGAAACATTTTACTTATTGTTAGAAAGCTGTGGTTACCTTGGCAGGGAGTAGCTACCTTGCTCAGGAAGCTCCCCCTGGTTGCGTCTCCGGGAATCAGCCCTCAGTTAACCAGGCAGTTCACCATTTATTGTATTTATGGCTTAAACTTTATCCCTTCTTTTAAAGGGATTCTTTTAAAGAAGTATTTATCCCTTCTTTTTGAGGGATCTGGAATAAAACAGTCTAACCCATTCTAGAATCTACTTTAAATTTCTTTTATTTACCAAGAGGGAAAGAAATAATCTCAGGTTGTTTGCAGATCAAAAATGTAGAACTGTTAGAAGAAAGGTGCTGGGAAAATTAGCAATGAAGTGAGAAAATGGTTTAAAAGAGACAACTGCACAGCAGCTGGTCCTCCAATGTGTGTTTTGCTGATGAAAATCTTTCTGAGGGGCTGTACTGGAACAAACCCATATTAGGAAATCCCAATTCTGTCTACAGCTAAGACATACACGAAGTCAGTAGCACCTCAGGGTTTGTTTTTTTTTTTTCTTGAATATTTCTCTTTGCTGTCTCTGTAACTGAATATGTTAGAAAATTACTCATATTTTCCTTCAGCTTCCACAAAGAAATTTAGGTTAAGCAAGAGGAGAAAAGCAATTTCTAATTTGTTTATGGGTCTGCAAGTTCTGCAGAATCTGAGGAGAGAAGGATAAACTTACTGGTAAATAATTCACCTTCCCACCTCTCAAATAGTTTTTCTCAAATAGAAACACTCCAGGCACACACAAAAGTTCTCCATTTCGGGGAGCAGCCCAAACAGTGTCTCCTCCTTAACTGGCAAACTTTGCCCTAGAAGCTCCTTCACCTCCACCCCAGAGAGCTTCAGGGGAACCAGGGCTAGTCCACTCCAACGCCTGTCCCTACCTGCCCGCTTGTTCCTAATGACCTCAGTCCTCTGTCGCAGAGCTCTCCAGCTACCAGGAAGAAAACAGACACTATTCTCTGCCACCAACTCCCCATCCCAGCCAGCCTCCCAGCACACAAGAGCCTCTGCAAAGAAACGATAGTGCAAGCACATTTTCTTATGGAACTATCCTGGATCCCTCCACTGTCCCATGCCTCAGGATTCTCTCATCCAAGCACCCTATTTCCCTTCCCAACGTAGAGCCACGCCCTCATCATTTTCAACATTTATTTTTTGGAGACAGATAGGCGTGTTCTTGGTTATTCAACAACTCCACGATCAATGTGGTACTTTATTTAATACGTCTGATTTCACTAATGCACAAACAACCTTGCCTGAGTCTGGTATGATCATTCTCATCTTATAAATGGAGAAGCTGAGACTGGGAGTTTCCAAGACACCCCAGCTCACAGTCACTGGCAAGGGCCGTCCCCAAATCTGAGCCTTCCGCGCAGCCCAGGCTGCTCCCAGCTGCACCATGTTCCGGGTGCAACGAGAGAAGGGTCAGAAGTGAGCGGGCAGAGGACGCCCTCCCCTGCTGGCTGCTGGTGGCACTAGGGGCTCCTGGCAACGACGCCTGTCAGGGACGCCTTTCCAGACGCATCAAACCCAGCTTTCAGACGCTGAAGGTGACATCCTGTGAGGGCGACAGCAGCAGTTATTGGAAAGGGGCCGGGTGAAGTCCTGAAGTACTGACTGCTTAGGCTCCACGCACCATGCTGGGTAGACCCTTTCTTCAAGGCAGCTTCTGAGTTGGACATGCCCATTTTGCAGATGGGAGATGAAGGCTTCTGAATGTTAACTAACCCGCTAAGCTGAAGAGCCAGGAGGATTTGGACCCCGGGCTGCCTTCACAAGCCCACCTTCTGCTGGTCCACCTCCTCATCCCAGGATCTAAGGAACCTGAGGGAAACAAGAGCCCTGTATTAGTAAAGGTTTCCCAGAGAATAAATAGTTATAGATCAATAGCTATGAGATTTATTATAGGAATTGGCTCATGTGGTTATGGAGACTGAGAAGTACTCCCATCTGCTGGCTGCAAGCTGGAGAACCAGAAAAGCCAGTGGTGTAATTTGGTTCAAGTCCAACAGAGTGAGAATCGGACTAGCCTTGGGGGGACAGGGGGTGGGGGAGCCTGTGTAAGTCCCAGGATTTGAAGGCCTGAGAAGCAGGGCACAGATGTCCAAGGAGAAGATGGATGTCCCAGCTCAAGTAGAGGGAGTGAATTCATCCTTCCTCCACCTTTTTATTCTATTCGGGCCCTCAGTGGATTGGACGGTGCCCACCCACACGGGTGAGAGCAGATCTTCACCCAATCCACTGAGTCCAATTCCAACCTCTAGGGGACAGCCTCACAGACACACCTAGGAATCATGTTCCACCCACTGTGTGAGTATCCCTTAGCCTAGTCAGGTTGACACATAAATTTAGCCACCACTAGCCCTCTGTACAAGGCCACTGCCCCACTCCCTGGGCTGGCTTCTGATGCTGCCTGCAGGCCAAAGCACCAAGATCTTGGCTAGGGTCCCCATCCTGTAAGCCATGCAAGGACATTCCTTCCCTCCTGTCTAAAGCCCTTCACCCTTCTAACCACTCCGCTCTGGTGGCCAACGCTTTGAGGGGGTAGCAGAGAAAGCTGTGTATTCAAACCCCTGAAAGAGGATGTCCTAAGTTTGTCTTGGATGGAACTAAACCATCCCACATCCATAACTGTGGGATCCCTGCCATCCCGGAATTATCTTATATTCACAACTCCGACTTAAGGCACAAACAGAAGCTACTGTCTGACACGTTGGCCCTTGGCTGGTACACACAGAGTTGAACCATCTGTTGGGCAGTTTGCCCAAGGCTTGTCTTGCTTTTGGCAGCCCATATTTATCTACAATGGGTCTCTCTGATATGAGGGTAGACTTTGCTGGAGGCCAGGGTAACAGAGCATAGGAATTAGGCATGTGTCTCCTTCCTTGATTTTCCAAGATGCCTTTAGAGGATCCTCAACCTGCTGACACTTGCTGACTAGTAAAGCCCTTCCCTTTTCTACAATTGTACTTACGAATATCAGATAAAGGCAGGAAAGGTTGGGAACATGCAAAAGAGCCCCTAGCAGCTGTGTGGGGAAGCGGACAGCTCCCCTGTGGGGCCTGTGATGGTGCATTGGTATCACGGTCTTGTGTGCAAAGAGGCCGGGACTGTTCTTCCCACTTGCTGGATCAAAGAGGTGGCACACCTTGTTGAAGGTAAAAAGAGCCAAAGGCTTAGAAGGAACTTCCATGAGACTCTCCCTCTCCTCTATTGGTGCTCACTTAGCTGAGAATATGTACAACGATATCCTGGCCTGGGACAAAACAGAGCAGGTGCTAAGAGGATCACGGCTGTCACCTGATATCATTGAAATGTTTGGGGCAGGGGGTCCTCCCTCCGGGCCTTGCCAGGTACCCCTCTACTGTGCTGCTCCATCTCACTCCTGCTGACTCGTCCACCATGGGACAATCCAGAAAAGCATGAGAAAAGCACTTGGCACTTCTTGTGTGGGAAGACATCACAGTGGCCGCATCCCCCATGAGTGTTCCTATCTTCTGTGCCAGGGCTGCAGAGAACACAAGCTGTGGCTGCGGCACTCACTGCCTACTCTGCCTCCTCCATTCACATCTTCACACAGATGCCAACTGTCTGCCAAAGGGAATAAAAAATAAAAGCAGAGTGAACTTGACATCCTATACCTTCCAGCATTATCCCTCTGAACAAAGTAGAAATGGTGCAACAGCTGAAGAAAAGGACTCAGAGAGGAGAGAACGGAAGAATGATGAGATGTGATGAGTTAGTGAAGTCAGGCCCCAGGAAATTCCACACCAGCAGCATCAATCTGCCTTCTGTACCCAATGCTGAGGGATCAAAACTTGGAGCCCAGGGCTGGAGCCTCAGGATTCCTCCCCAAATCACACTGGCATGACTGTGTGCAACCCCGGAGTTGGGCTCATGTTTCTTCTGGAATTGTAGAATATAAGGCACAATTTATTCTATCCTTTCATCTTCCTGCTTTAAGTTTAGAAATTGCTGGTGGCTTTCCCTTAAAGGGAGTACATTTAAATTTTTTGTATTAAGTTCTTAAGTTTCTTAAGGCAAAATATTGATGGTACCATCACCATCTTCGTCTGAAAGTCATGTTCACATTATAGAAAAGACTTTCGCTAGACTGAGTCTTCCTCAGTCAAAGATTATATCTTGAAAGTGTATACTAGGTTAAGCAACACTTTTGAAATGTTATCATACTTTAATCAGAATTTCACACACAACACATTAAGAGTAGCCAACAGTGAGGTCAATGTCCTTATTTTCAAAAAAGCATTTTTCTCCAGTTTATTTTTATGAAAGGTCAGTGCCTTGGACATAATGTTCACTTCCATTCAAGAACATTTCTTGATAAGTAGAAATAATTTTTCAGGCAAAAACCTGATGTTCTAAGTTCAATAATAACCTGTTTCTACACTATGCCAAATTCTGGTGTGAAGGGAATTTTTACTGACATGGTAATTTTTTCACACATTTTATGATTTTTAAAAAATAGCCAGGTGTGGTAGCTAACACCTGTAATCCTAGCACTTTGGGAGGCTGAGGCGTGTGGATTGCGTCAGCCCAAGGGTTTAAGAACATCCTGGGCAACAAAGTGAGACCCCGTCTCTATTAAAAAAAATCATAGGATATCCAATAGTCAACAGTTCTCTGGTTTCAAATTTCTGCCAGAAAAATAATCTACAAATCAACTTGTCTAAAGCAAAAGTCCTTATTCATAATAGCTGCCATCAATTTCTAACTATTATGTTGCTGATAACAGCATATAGCAAGTCAGTCAACTCAGTTATTGGGAATATTTTCAGCTGTTAATGTTGGTATGTGTGCAGCATAGGGTTAAGACTGTGGGTATAGAATTCACACTTCCCAAGTTCAAATCTTTGTTTATTGTTTACTAACTGTCCAAACTTGGGCAATCGACTAAACTGCAATTTCTTCATCTTTAAAATGGAGACAGCATATTCCTCCTAGAGTTATTGTAAGGATTAAACAGGCAGGTAAGAGCTAAGGTGATTATTGCAATGCTGAAAAAACCTTATCAGTTTCTCTTATTATATTTCTCAAACTGTGTAGATCATGCTTGGAGAATAAAGTGTTTAAGTTGGTCAATTGAAAATCTTTTCGGAAAATTAAATACCTTTGCTGTTAATAAGTCAAATCAATGTTAATAATATTCTTCTGTGTATGTCCATAGCCTTGAATTGTAATCCAGCCTATAGCCCGTATCATTTTGTTTGAGTTTTTAACAATAGACTGAATTGTTAAAGAACAGTTTTAGAGTTTCAGAAGAGTTGAGAAAACAGTAGAGTTCCCATATGCCTGTACCGAGTTTCCCCCATGGCTATCATCTTAAATTTCTGTGGTACATTTGTTACAATTAATGAACCAATATTGATACGTTATTATTATTAGCTAATGTCCATGCTTTACTCAGATTTCCTTATTTTTACCTAATGTCCTATTTAGGTGTTAGAATCCCATCCAGAATATCACATAACACTTGGTCACCATGTTCCCTTAGGCTCCTCTTGGATGTGACAGTTTCTCAGACTTTCCTTTTTTTATGACCTTAATAATTTTGAGGTATATTGGTCAAGTAGTTTGTAGGATGCCCGTCTATTGGAATTTTACACTTTTCTCATGATTAGGCTGGTTTCTTGAGGAGGAGGACCCCAAAGGTAACGTGCCATTTTCATCACATATCAAGGGAACATACTAACAACATGACCTTTCACTGTTGATGTTGACCTTGATGGCTGAAGACGTGTTTGTCAGATTTCTCCACGGCAAGGTTACCCTTCACCCCGTCCCTTTACCACACTGTGTTCTCTGTAAGGAAGTCACTATGAGCAGCCCACACTTAGGAGTGAAAATTTATGCCCCCCTCCTTGAGAGCACAGTATCTACATCAATTATTTGGAATTCTTCAACATGGGATATTTGCCTCATCTTCTCTATTTATTTATTTATTCAGTAATTTATTTATACAAGTATAGTTTGTTTTATAATCCACCATCATTTTATTTATTTTGTTGTTCAAGCTGTGTTCCTAGTGTAAAGAAAAGATAAATATTTAAGGTGATGGTATCTGATTATCCTGATTTGATTATATGGATGTATCAAATTATCACACGTACCCCCAAAATATGTATATCTAATATGTGTCAATTAAATAATCATTCCAGTTTTGTCATTGGGAGCTCTTTCACACACACAGAGCTCTTCTGCGGTCCTTTTGACATATTCCCATCAATGCTTTTTAAAACAACAACAACAAAAACAACACTTCCTTACTTTCAAGCACTACAAGATGCTCCAATTTCATCTTGTATATTTTCTACCCCAGTCCTTGATAGCAATTTCTCCAAGCAGCCTTGCTTCCTTTTACTGAAGAATGGCATCAAAAACAGATCTGGGAGCTAGGTGTGCTAGTGGCTACTGGGTGTTGTTTCATTCAGGTACTTTCACCTCACAAAGCAAGGAAATATATGAATGTATACTCACCTGTATATAAAACATATCTATAAATATTTCTATGTGTAACCATTTACATTTATATTAAGCTAGACATGAGTTCCTACTGATCTCTCCAACTGTAATCCTTTACCACATGGATCATTCTATTCTCCTGATTCCCTTGCTTATCTGTAAAGTTTCACCCCAAAAGAGAGAAATCTTGTTCCCAACACTTGCCATTCATTTACTCAATTATTTAATTCCTCTCTCTCTCTCTCTCTCTCTCTCTCTCTCTCTCTCTATATATATATATATATATATATATATATATATATATATATGAGTATCAGAATTATTGACCCATGGGAAGCAATATTATCAACTACAGTACAGTGCTTAAATTCAGTTCTTTTCACCTTTAGTATTACACACTAAAACATTTCCAAAGTTACTGAGGTCAGCATCTTTCTGCCTCCCCTCATTTCAATGGGGTTGAACATTATCATTTTTAACCAATAAACAAACAACTGGATGTTATATCAACACAAAAGGAACTTCATGTTCACACGTCTATACAAACAAACATTTCACTTGTTTAAAAAAAAGTAAGTTAGTTATAGAATAAAAGATAAAATATTAACATTTTATATAAGATCTGATGTAAATTGTCATCAACAAAGTGTTCATATCCCACATATTTTATCAAGCTTGTCAAATATTGTTCATGCAAACTATCAACTGTAATTCACCTTGGCTTTTGCTAATTGCAAAAATGTTCTGGCCGGGCTTGGTGGCTCACGCCTGTAATCCCAGCACTTTGGGAGGCTGAGGCAGGTGGATTGCCTGAGGTAAGGAGTTCAAGACCAGCCTGGCCAACATGGTGAAACCCCATCTCTACTAAAAATACAAAAATTAACTGGGTGCAGTGGCAGATGCCTGTAATCCCACCTTCTTGGGAGGCTGAGGCAGGAGAATTGCTTGAACCTGGGAGGCAGATGTTGCAGTGAGCTGAGATTATGCCATTGCACTCTAGCCTGGGTGACAGAGCAAGACTCTGTCTCAAAAGAAAAGAAAAAAAGTTATCCTTTCTGACCACTGCTTTTAAATCTCCACTTTATTTTTTCCTGGGAAATAAACTTTAGGCACTTGAACCACAGCAAGCCTTGACCTCAGCCTGGAATAAACCACACTAATTTGTTGAACCCCAGGCTGAATCCTCTTTTCTGTGTAGGTGTATTGCTTTTTAAATTTACAAATGAAACTAATAGTTTCCTACCTTGCCACCCATATCAATATGTTTATATCATCTATACTTACATATTTATATCTATATCCATTCTTTTTAAATTTTAAGTTCTGGGGTACACATGCAGGATGTGCAGTTTTTTACATAGGTAAATGTGTGCCATGGTGGTTTGCTGTACCAATCAACCTATCACCTAGGTATTGAGCCCAGCTGCATCAGCTATTTTTCCCAATGCTCTCCCTTCCCACACCTAACCCCCCGACAGGCCCCTGTGTGTGTTGTTCCCCTCCCTGTGTCCCTGTGTTCTCATTGTTCAGCTCCCACTTATAAGTGAGAACATACGGTGTTCGATTTTCTGTTCCTGCATTAGTTTGCTGAGGGTAATGGCTTCCAGCTCCACCCATATCCCTGCAAAGGACATGATTTCATTCCTTTTTATGGCTTTATAGTATTCCATGGTATATGCATACCAGATTTTCTTTATCCAGTCTATCATTGATGGGCATTTGGGTTGATTCCATGTCTTTGCTATTGTGAATAGTTCTGCTATGAACATATGTGTGCATGTATCTTTGTAACAGAATTATTTATATTCCTTTGGTTATATATCCAGCAATGGGATTGCTGGGTCAAATGGTATTTCTGGTTCTAGGTCTTTGAAGAATCACCACACTGTCTCCCACAATGGTTGAACTAATTTACATTCCCACCAACAGTGTAAAAGCGTTCCTATTTCTCCACAGCCTTGCCATCATCTGTTGTTTCTTGACTTTTTAATACAAACCATTCTGACTGGCATGAGATGATATCTCATTGTGGTTTTGATCTGCATTTCTCTAATGATCAGTGATGTTGAGCTTTTTTTCATGTTTGTTGGCTGCATGAATGTATTCTTTTGAGAAGTGTCTTTTTCATATACTTTGCCCACTTTTTAATGGAGTTGTTTGTTTTTTTCTTGTAAATGTGTTTAAGTTCCTTGTAGACTCTGGATATTAGACTTCTGTGAGATAAATACAATACAAAAATTTTCTCCCACTCTGTAGGTTGCCTGTTTGCTCTGATAATAGTTTCCTTTTTTCTTTTTTTGTTTTTCTGAGATGGGGTCTCACCCTGTTGCCCAAGCTGGAGTACAGTGGTGGAATCTTGGCTCCCTGCAACCTCTGCCTCCCAAGTTCAAGTGATTCTCCTGCCTCAGCCTCCCGAGTAGCTGGGATTACAGGTGTGCACCACCATGCCCGGCTAATTTTTTGTATCTTTAATAGAGACGGGGTTTCACCACATTGGCCAGGCTGATCTCAAACTCCTGACCTCATGATCCACCCACCTCGGCCTCCCAAAGTGCTGGGATTACAGGTGTGAGCCACCGTGCCCAGCCTCTGATGATAGTTTCTTTTGCTGTGCAGAAACTCTTTAGTTTAATTAGGTCCCATTTGTCAATTTTTGCTTTTGTGGCAATTACTTTTGGTGATTTCGTCATGAAATATTTGCCCATGCCTATTCCCTGAATAGTACTGCCTAGATTTTCTTCTAGGGTTTTTATAGTTTTGGGCTTTAGATTTAGGTCTTTAATCCACCTTGAGTTAATTTTTGTATAAGGTGTAAGGAAGGGGTCCAGCTTCAATTTTCTGCATATAACTAGCCAGTTCTCCCAGCACCACTTATTAAATAGGGAATCCTTTCCCCATTGCTTGTTTTTGTCAGGTTTGTCAAAGATCAGATGGTTGTAGATGTGCAGCCTTATTTCTGAGTTCTCTATTTTCTTCCATTGGTCTACGTGTTTGTTTTTGTACCAGTATCATGCTATTTTGGTTATTGTTCCCTTGTAGTATAGTTTGAAGTCTGGAGCATGATGTTTGCAGCTTTGTTCTTTTTCCTTAGGATTATCTTGGCTATATGAGATCTTTTTTGGTTCCATATGAATTTTAAAATAGTTTCTTCTAATTCTGTGAAGAACATCAATGGTAGTTTAATGGGAATAGCATTTAATCTATAAATTACTTTGGGCAGTATGGCCAATTTCATGACATTGATTCTTCCTATCCATGAGCATGGAATGTTTTTGCATTTGTTTGTGTTCTCTCTCATTTCCTTGAGTAGTGGTTCATAGCTCTCCTTGAAGAGGTCCTTCACTTCCCTTGTTAGCTGTATTCCTAGGTATTTTATTCTCTTTGTAGCAATTGCGAATGGGAGTTCATTCATGATTTGGCTCTCTACTTGCCTCTTGGTGGTACATAGGAATGCTTATGACTTTTGCACATTGATTTTGTATCCTGAGACTTTGCTAAAGTTGCTTATCAGCTTAAGAAGCTTTGGGGCTGAGATGAAGGGATTTTCTAGATATAGGATCATGTCATCTGCAAACAAAGACAATTTTACTTCCTCTAAGAGAAAAGAATCAAATAGACACAATAAAAAATGATAAAGGGGATATCACCACTGACCCCACAGAAATACAAACAACCATCAGAGAATACTATAAACATCTCTATACAAATAAACGGGAAAATCTAGAAGAAATGGATAAATTTCTGGACACACACACCCTTCCAAGACTGAAACTGAAAGAAGTTGAATCCCTGAATAGACAAATAACAAGTTCCGAAATTGAGGCAGTAATAAATAGCCTACCAACCAAAAAAAAGTTCAGGACCAGATGGATTTACAGCTGAATTCTACCAGAAATACAAAAAGGAGCTGATACCCTTTCTTCTGAAACTATTCCAAATAATTGAAAAGGAGAGACTCCTCCCTAACTCATTCTATGAGGCCAGCATCATCCTGATACCAAAATCTGGCAGATATAAAACAAAAAAAGAAAACTTCAGGCCAATATCCCTAATGAACATTGATGTAAGAATTATCACTAAAATACTGGCAAACCAAATACGCAGAAAATCAAAAAGCTTATCCACCACGATCAAGTTGGCATCATCCCCGGGATACAAGGCTGGTTCAATATATGCAAATCAATTAACGTAATTCATCACATAAAGATATCTAAAAACAAAAACCAAATTATTATCTCAATAGACACAGAAAAGTTCTTCAATAAAATTCAAAATCCCTTCATGTTAAAAAATTCTCAATAAAGTAGGTACTAAAGGAAGATACTTTAAAATAATAAGAGCCATTTCTGACAAACTGACAGCAAATATCATACTGAATGGGCCAAAGCTGAAAACATTCCCCTTGAAAACTGGCACAAGACAAGGATGCTCTCTCTCACCACTCCCATCCAACACAGTATTGGAAGTTCTGACCGGGGCAATAAGGCAAGCGAAAGAAAGAAAGAAAGGGTATTCTATATCCACTTTTACTCAAATTCTTTTAAACCTCAAATTGTAAGAGACTACTGTCAAAGCTAAAACAAAATTATGTTGGGAATTTATGCCATATATCACTGCAATGAGGTCGAACTTCAGGAACTGTTAGCTCCTAACCATTTAAACAAAGAGAGATATTAAATATACTGATTTTAATGTCATCCCTCTGACTTCCTGAACCAACGACTATTTTTCCTGAAGGCACACAAAATTCAAAATTAAATAAAAAGGTATTTTTGAAAATAACTCCCACATTTCTGAAATGAGAATGGGGCAGCACAGATGCACGTTGACGGCTACCTCCATCGTTGAAAAGGGAGTTTCTGAGGCAGTTCTAATGAAGTGGCAATTTTGCAGATAATGTAAAATTCAAAAACACTATGGAGATGTTAGGCACAAACACGCCAAGCACATAAAGCAGCATCTGGCAGTTTCCCTTTGGAGGCCTCGTGTGCCAGCATTTCACTTAGATAAGAAAAAAGTCTCCTATTTTCAGCAATCTTCTTAAATGCTTTAATTTGACACTATCTGAAAGTGATACTTAAGTTGTGGTAAATCACATTTAATTGCAGCAGTCTACTGTCTATTATTTCACTATTGCTTCAATTTCTCTCTAAGCTCTCAAAGACCTCATGGAAAATAAAATATTCCTTAATGGAAGTGCTTTCATTCTTAGTGACTTTTTGCCCATCTTGGTCAATTATTTTGACATATGCTAAAGCAGTAACAGTCATATTAAAAGGCCAAGTAAAGCTGAAAAGTACAACTCATCTCTAAGAACATTTGGCTGTGTTTCTATATTACCTGCTTAAAGAGTCTAAATCTTGTTTTTAGCCACTCTCCCGGTTCTCTACCTCTAATGTTGGAGTAATGAGTTCGTGAAGTGCCTACTAGCCATGAGGACTAGGGGCTCGGGGTACAGATAAAGAAGACACAGACCCTGCCCTCCAGGAGGCTGAAGGAAAGAAGGGCAGGCCAATCAGTGCTCCTGAGACAGGGTGGCCCTCCTTCTGAGTCTTCTGTTTACTGAGGGCCTTTGTGCTGGATACTGGGCTGCTCCTCCATGTTCATTACTATCTGATATGGTTTGGATCTGTGTGTCCACCCAAATCTCATGTTCAGTTGTAATCCCCAATGTTGGAGGTGGGGCCTGGTGGGAGGTGATTGGACATAGGGGCACTTTCTAATGGTTTGGCACCATCCTTCTAGTGCTGTTCTCATGACAGACTTCTCATGAGACCTGGTTGTTTACAAGTGTGTAGCACCCTCCCTCTCTGTCTTCCTCCTGCTCCAGCCATGTAAGACAAGCCTGCTTCCCCTTCTCCATGCTTCCCTTTACACCATGATTGTAAGTTTCCTGAGGCTTCCCCAGCCATGTTTCCTGTACAGCCTGTGGATTCATGGACCAATTAAACATCTTTAGAAATTACCTAGGCTCAGGTATTTCTTTATAGCAGTGTGAAAAAAAACTAATACAGTCCCTCCTAACAGTAATGCCATGATGCAGGAAGAGAGCCTTACATTTAGGTAAGGATGCTTGGTCCTCTGAACATGTTGGTCCTTTTTATAGGTCCATCGTTCAGGCCACCTTAAAGAGGCAACTTGGGTGTTGTCCATCCAAGCTTGGACATGGGAATTTTGAGAAATAAGACTCTGGGCTCTGGAGGTTCTAGTTCTCTGGTTATCCCATCTGAAGTCCAGCTACCTCTGGAGAACAGCAAGTGGATGTGGATGAATTTGTTCTCAGTGATTCCTAGAGCTGGGTCTGAGTCTTGGGATGCAATGGAAGCCTCTTTCCTCTTCATTAGGCCCATTTACTGAAGAGCCTGAGTTTCAGAAGAGTTAGTGGACTTGCTCAGGTCTTGACAGATAGTTGGAATTGAAGGCTAAGTTTCTCCAGACCACGACAGAGGTTGCCATGGAGGTGCAGAGAAGATAATGAAAATCATGGTGGTAGATGGAGGTGGAAGGGGTAGTTGGTAAAACAGAGTAGGCACCCCAGAAATTATACTAAATCATTTTTTAAATTATTTTTAGTAATTAATGCATTCCTCCCCCTATATGGCCAGAGTTCTTAGAGTTGGGAGAAATCTTTGAAATTATTTGGATCATTCCTGCCTCCCAAGACTGGCAGAGAGGCACTGAGGCTCTCCTTCATCATCTTTAGGGATAAAGAGCTCATGCATGAATGGGGCTGGGGGTCCCTGGCAAATTCCGACCACTGGGGAATCTCTTATCAAAATTTACAAAGAGGAAGCAGGAAGCTCCTTGTTTCCAGTGTATATCACTCTTAACTAAAGCTCAGAGAAATTAAGATATTCTCTATGGCACTACTCAAAACCATGCACCATGATGAGTTGGCAGGATCAGAAGAAAGACCTTTTGCGGATGCCTACCTAGAAGGTTGCAGTGGATACTGGAATTTGGGTTTAGAAAGAAAAGGACAAGGGGATGCTACAAATAATGTCAAATTGAGGCTTTCAGTTTGTGTGGGTCAATATTAGCTTGTTGGGAAACAAGTGCCAGGTAGTCTGTGACATTCAAGGCCCTGATATCCTAAGAGTAAGGAAGAAATAGTGTTTAACAATATTCATCAGAGCAGTGGAGTATAAGAAAAGTCCACATATGTTCTGTGAGTCAGCATGCTGGGACTGAATTTCTAACCTCCTGGTTCTTAATTTCCTCATCTGTATAATGAGAGACTTGTTGAAGATCTTGCTAATATTCTACAGTGGGTTTTAATTTTTTTACATACTTGGTGAAAAAAAAAACAAAACCTCATTTTTTCCCCTCAATCTGATACTAGCTGGTCTAAGTCTCCATCCTTCAGGTTAGAGGAGCACTTTCCCTCAGTCATGTTTTCTACGAATCTCTAGGTGTCTTGCAGTCTAGAACATTCAAGTAAGGATTCCTGGTCCTCTGAACACTTTGGTCCCTTTTAAAGGTCCATGGCGCCGGCTACCTTGAAGAGGCAACTTGGATGTTCTCCAGACAAACTTGGACATGGGAATGTTCAGAAAAATGGGAGTTTGCGCTCTGGGGGTCCTGGTTCTCTGGTTAACCCATCTGAGGTCCAACTACCCTCTGGAGAACAGCAAGGAGACAGATTTGTTCTCTGTGATTCTTAGAGATGGGTCCCAGTCTTGGGAAGCAATGGAAGCCTCTTTCCTTTCCCATTAGGGCCATTTACACCTTTCCCAACTTTTGGTTTCTTTCTCCGGGCCATACACTGAATCCATTGTCATCATATGCTTAATTTTTCTATCACATAAGCCCTCAGTGAAGGATGTCTTCTGGGTGTCTAAAAACATTCTGTTTTTAACCATATGTCAGTTTATCTTTGGTTGTGTGCTGAACATGGTATTTGTAAAATACTTGTTGAAATAATTTGAGGGCAAGGATAATGTTACCTTCCTCTGAGGAGGATTTGATTTGTCTTTGCAAGGCACCTCAGGGAGCTTGCAATTCAAGATCAGGTTAATTCAAGCACAGGACTTTTTACCAAGCAACTTAGAAATATTTAAATAATTGAACAATTGATACAGCTGTACAGGTGCCTCCCAAATGAATATCAGCCCTAAATGCCCCCAATACTTAGGTTAAGTTCTTGTTAATATGGCTATATAACATATCACTCCCAAATTTAGGATTTGAAACAATAATTATTTCTCACGGTTTCAGTGGGTTAGCTCAGAAGCAGCTCAGCTGGGTGGTTCAAACTCAGGGTCTCTCATGATGTTGCAGTCAGATGTCAGTAGGAACTGGAGGCTCCAATTCCAAGGTGGCCCACTTACAAGGCTGGCAAAGTGGTGCTGGTGATTGGCAGGAACCCTTAATTCTTCTCCATGTGAATCTGTAGATGGAGCTGCTCGAGAGTCCTTGGAGAGCGGTGGCTGGCTTCCGCAGAGAGAGAGATCTAAGAGGTGGAAGATACAATGCCTTTTGTGACCTAGCCTCGGAATTCACACCCCATCACTTCCTCCACATTCTATTGGTCACCCAGAGCCAGCCCTGATTCAATGCGCAAGGGAACTAAGAAGGACATGAATACGAGGAGGCAGGAACCATCACAGGCTGTCTTGCAGACTGGTTACCACACACAGAAATTGGGACTTGAATCCAGGCCTCTCTGATGTCAAAGTCCTTGTACTTCACTGTGCTGCCCTCCCCAAGCAGCCTCTTGAATCTGTGGATCCCTCTAAGTGTAATGTCACCTTCAGCCTGCAACAGTACAGAATGGATAAAGTAGTGATATTAAACATGCTGTAAGAGAAGAAGAGAAGCCTAGGCTCCTTGAGCATGATTATAAAATGGGGACCAGTGAGGAGAGGATAGCCTCAAGAAGAAGAATTGAGAGGGGCTTGGTTAACTATCCCTAACTGGACATTCTGCTTTTTGCTGTTCCTGGCATCAGCTATCAGAAAGTCTCTGTGGGTGAGTTTCTGAGCACTCTTTTATGCCATTAACTACACTCTTGCGAAGCTTCTGTTTGAAGGGTTTGGATTTTCTTAGGCAGTGCCAGGTTTTCAGAATAGAAATTGACTGGTTTCTCCCCCAGAAAGTCTATAGCCTACCGTGTTTAACCCCAACCTCTAGTAATAGCTCAATCCACGCTGATCCCCCAGGGTTTGCAGAACAGAGTCTCGGTTGCAAACACTGCAATCAGCAGCTTGCTGTTTTTCTCTTTTTCTTCCACTTTATTTTATATTGATATTTAATGAATGTTTCTTTGGTGGTATTGCTATGTTCATTATTTAAACTCTGAAAATTGAAGCCATAGAAAATAATTGTTGATTCACCACAGGGAGCCATATAAATATTGTTCTAAATTCTAATGACCATGACCATTGGGATTATTTTTTGTGAAGCATAATTTCCATTATTTTGAAAGCCCTCAAGTCAGTATCTTAGAAGGGCAGCTGTTTTCTTGGCTATTTTCAATAGGTTTTTCTTCTTTCTTCATTTTTCCTTCCCTCCTTACCACATTAGACACCCTCCTTTTATTTCTTCCCTTGCCATTGTATTGTTTTTTGTTTGTTTGTTTTTGTTTGTTTTTGAGACAGATTCTCACTCTATCACCCAGGCTGGAGTGCAGTGGTGAGATCTCAGCTCACTGCAACCTCCGTCTCCCGAGTTCAAGCGATTCTTCTGCCTCAGCATCCCGAGTAGCTGGGACTACAGGCGCACGCCACCATGTCCGGCTAATTTTTGTATTTTTAGTAGAGACTGAGTTTCACCATACTCTCCAGGCTGGTCTCAAACTCCTGACCTCGTCATCTGCACGCTTTGGCCTCCCAAAGTGCTGGGATTACAGGTGTAAGCCACCACGCCCAGTCTGTATTGTTATTTTTATTGCTATTGTTAATATAAACGAGGCCTCAGGACTTAGAGCTTCACAACTAAATAATACCTGTGTACATCATTTTGTATTTTCAAGTTGTTTTTACAAATATCATCTTATCTGATGCACATTATAACTGAATGAGATAAATGGGACAAACGTCATCCCTATTTACAGATAAGGACAAAATCCCAAAGATTTGCAGAGCTACAGGGCTGGTTAGAGCAGGTCCCTCCTCCAAGAGCAGATCTCCCTCCCTTAGTATTATCTCACCCCTCCGGGCCTGGGAAACCTAAAGATACTTTGTGAACGCATGTCTGTATCTACAGAAAGCTCTGCTAGTTAAAGAAACTACCCTAGACCAAGCTGCGCTCTAAGGGGCTGGTGAGCTCTGTTATTTTTAAAATTACTTTAAATATTTTTTCTTTTTAATTAAAATAATGAGTCAAACATAGGGAGGATTACAGAAAATAATTTGGAACCAATCAGATTTATCTGAGGTGACCTTTTGCCACAGATGCTTGAAGTCCATCCATCTCTCTTATGAAATGAAATGTTACAGAAACAGCTCATTCTCTCCCTCCTCACTACTCCTTGCCTCCCTCCCAAGGCTACTTCCATCCTGAGTAGTGCTTTCTTCAGTTGCATGTTGATCTACTGTTATATACAAGAATGAGTTACAAGTCATATGCCATCAGCTTTGCATTTTGCAAGAATTTTCACAAATATTATGCTATCGCATGTACAGACTTTAGGCTCACTGCTGAACAATGCCCTGGGCTTCTTTCATTTTTCTGCATGTCTCACTCCTCTGGCTATGCCTGTTTGGGCTGGGAGAGAATACAGGGAATGTCCAAGATATTAGCAGTTCCTATGGCAGCAAGTGCTGGTTTCTGTGACTGTGGTTCCCTAAGAGAGGCAGAAAAGCAAGGGGACTAAGCTTCCACTGTGCACTTAATCGCAGGGCCATAGCCCAAGTAGGTTGTAAAGGCCGATGACATCCCAAGACAGGCTGGAACTTGAACTGACATTTTACAGAGGAAAACCAGGCCCAGAAAAGAGAATGGTTGCTTTAATGTCACACTTCCAGAAATTGGTAAAGCAGGAACCATCTCAGAGCTTATGACACCTTTGTACTAAACACATTGCCTTTAGGCAGTCTTATTCTTCATCCAGTAAACAGCAGACCATGGATTTGATTGTTTTCTTTCTTTTCTTTTCTTTTCTTTTCTTTTCTTTTTTTTTTTTTTTTGAGACGGGAGTCTTGCTTTGTCGCCCAGGCTGGTGTGCAGTGGCGCAAACTTGGATTTGATTGTTTTCTTGCCTCTGCTCCCCTGAGGAAAATGCCAGCAAACTATAAAATTTCATTCCCTGAGATCCTGGCAAGCTACATTGGACTTAGGTGTCTGCTGTTTCTGGGAGGCAGCAAGGATCTGAGTTTGGGGGAAGATCAGGTCACCGGGCTGAAGAGTAGCCCGAAGATCTTTTTTACCTGGATCGCCCTCTGGTGGCAGATTCGATAACAACCGCTCTAATTCATCATCTGAAATGCAAAGTGGTTGCAGCTCAAGTTTTCCTTGCTCCTCTTGGGACTTGCTCGTTCCTCATTAAAGCATCCCTATGCCCACTCTATACAAGACACATTTACTTTGAGCTGCATCCCTGAGATAATCGACTCCAAGCCAATATTTCTGTGTGTCAGTCACAGTAACTGGAGCTGTGGCATGGAAAATAAGAAGAAAGCATTGTTCCTGACCCCAAGGAATTTAAGTTAACTGGGTGAGACAGGCATACAGGCAGCTGACCAGACTCGGAGTCAGTGTGACCGAGAATGGACAGGCTGGGGGAATGCAGAGGGAGGAGGCCTTGGTGGGGAAGCTAGTGTCTGAGTTCTCAAGGAGCAATGGGAATTCTGAAGTTGGAGAGGGGCAGGGACACTGGAGGAGGGGAGGACAGGGCATGGCCCCTTCCTCCCTCCCTGTTTCCCCTTCTCCTTGGGGCCTTGCTCTCTTTCTCTTCCTCTTTACTCACCCCAGTACCAATAGCCCTACAATTCATGACCACCCGAAGCGTCCATTTTCTGGGAGAAGATTGGGCTCCTTAGCCTCTTCCTACAGACCTTTCTCTCTGAGTCTTCCCATGGGTCCTTCTGACATCTGAATAGAATGACCAAGGCATAAATCTCAATCATCGAGGTTTATTAAGTCAGCTTGAGGGTGCTTCCGGGAAAAATACAAGCCACAGGTACATCTGTGGCTGTTTTTCTCAAGAGAGTTTCAGGGGATTTAGTATTTACACATTTCCTTAAATGGGGGAAAGGCTTTTAGGAAAAAGGGCAGACAGGTGGTAAGGCGAATGGCTACATTCCTGTGAGACTCTAGCTGCTGCCTGGTAAATCTACATTTTACATAAGACAAATTGGATGTTTGAAAATAAAAAGAGAGTAAAGGAAGAGTCAAGTATGCAGATGTCTCTGGGTAGGTATAGGAATGAGTCTTGTCTTTATTCTGCACCTGCACTTCTATCTAAGCTTGCGATCAACATTATCAGCATGGAATCAACTTTAATTTTAGGAGCTAGGCTGGGCACGGTGGCTCACGCCTGTAATCCCAGCACTTTGGGAGGCCAAGGCGGGCAGATCACTTGGGGTCAGGAACTCGAGACCAGCCTGGATGAAATGGTGAAACTCCATCTCTACTAAAAATACAAAAATTAAGGCCGGGTACAATGGCTCATGCCTGTAATCCCAGCACTTTGGGAGGTCAAGGCAAGTGGATCACCTAAGGTCAGGAGTTCGAGACCAGCCTGACCAACATGGTGAAACCCTATCTCTACTAAAAATACAACAATTAGCTGGGTGTGGTGGCGCATGCCTGTCCAAGCTACTCAGGAGGCTGAGACAGGATAATCGCTTGAACCCAGGAGGCGGAGGTTGCAGTGAGCTGAGATCACGCCATTGCACTCCAGCCCAGGCAATAAGAATGAAATTCCTTCTCAAAAAAAAAAAAAAAAAAAAAATTAGCCAGGCATGGTGGCATGCACCTGTAATCTCAGCTACTTGGAAGGCTGAGGCAGGAGAATCGCATGAACCCAGGGGGCAGAGGTTGCAGTGAGCCGAGATCGCATCACTGCATTCCAGCCTGGGTGACAGAATGAGAGTTAGTCTCAAAAAAAAAAAAAAAAGAAATTAAGAACTAGACTTAGTTTGTAGACCTAAAGTTACAATTGGCATGTCCTTGTGTTGCCAAAAAAAAAAGAGGTCCCAATCCAGACCCTAAGAGAAAGTTCTTGGATCTCGTGCAGGAGGGAATTCCAGGCAAGTCACAGAGTTCAGTGGGGAGGGAAGGTTTATTGACGGCTACTCAAATACAGGGTAGGGTGTCCTCAGAAAGCAAGCGGAGGAATGCCTCGTCTTTACATTTTTCGTATATAGGAGTCTTCTCTATGTGGAGACTGAACTAAGCTGTGTCTACCTGTGTGGGTGGGCTGGAAGCATGACCAAATTTATTATTCTGTTGATTTAAAGAAAACTACTGGTGGCACATGCCTGTAATCTAGCATTGGGAGGCCAAGGTGGGAGGACTGCTTGAGCCCAGGAATTCAACATCAGCCTGGACAACATAGCAAGACCTCGTCCCTATTTTTAAAATAAAATTTGTTCTACAAAAAAATTAAAAAGAAAAAGAAGGCCGGGCGCGGTGGCTCACGCCTGTAATCCCAGCACTTTAGGAGGCCCAGGCGGGTGGATCACGAGGTCAGGAGAACGAGATCGTCCTGGCTAACACGGTGAAACCCCATCTCTACTAAAAATACAAAAAATTAGCCGGGCGTGGTTGCAGGCGCCTGTAGTCCCAGCTACTCGGGATGCTGAGGCGGGAGAATGGCTTGAACCCAGAAGGCGGAGCTTGCAGTGAGCGGAGATCGCGCCACTGCACTCCAGCCTGGGCGACAGAGCGATCCTCTGCCTCAAAAAAAAAAAAAAAAAAAAAAGAAAAGAAAAAAAAAGAAAAAAAAGAAAACTATTGGCTGGGTGCGGTGACTCATTCCTGTAATCTCAGCCCTTTGGGAGACTGGCCAGCAAATTGTTTGAGCTCAGGAGTTCGAGACCAGCCTGAGCAACAAGGCAAAACCCTATCTCTACTAAAAATACAAAAATTAGCCTGCGTGGTGGCACACGCCTGTGGCCCCAGCTACTCAGGAGGCTGAGGTGGAAGGATCTCTTGAGCCAGGGTGGTGGAGTTTGTGGGGAGGTGGAGTTTGCAATGAGCCAAGATCACACCATTTGCACTCCATCGCGGGCAACAGAGTGAGACTCTGTTGGGAAAAAAAAAGAAAGAGAGAAACAGAGAGAAGAAAGAAAGAGAAAGGAAGGAAGGAAAGAAAGAGAAAAAAAAAGGAAGAAAGAAAAGAAAAGAGAAGGAAAGGAATCTATCCTTGACACTTTAGTGTGTGAGTGCATCAAAGCATAATTATAATTATCTTGAAAGCATATACTATTATGGGTATTGAGACATCTGGACTTTCTTTTGTTGTAGGATTGTGTCCTTGTAGGTATCCTTGGGCTGTTTCCTCAATTGAAAAATCTTATGACCATAGTTTGTGATTGGCAAAGAATGTGCCTTCCTGGTTTTCAAATGGAGTTCATTTTAAAATGGTGTCACCCTGGCTCTCCTATGTTCCTGTTTCCCTTGCTTATAGGAGGCCAGCAGAGAATTTACTTATGAATGATCTGTGGGGGCAGGGCTTTGTAGATGCTTGAGGCCTTTTACCTTTCCATGGGGATCTGGCTGATGCATAATGCTAGTAACAGGTATTCATTTGAAAGTGGGTGTTGCATGACTCAGCATCTGGGCTTAAGTTTGGAGGTCCTGACATTTTTAAATTTCCTTTACATTCCCCCTGTTCTTCAAAGCTTTTGGAGAAAGCGTTGAGGAAGACACGAGATTGTGGTTTATTGGTTTATCCAATCCTATGTCACCATGAAGCCTCCCTCTTAGGTGGTCACATCCTAGAGAGGGGGAAATTACATCAGAAAAGGACCAATGCCAAATTACAGCAACAAAGGGAAAGTAATCCTGGAAGCTGATTTAAGCTATGTGACTGTGTCTTCAATTAAAATATTCAGTCCCTTCCCCTCCCCCTCCCCCTCCCTTCCGTCTCCCTCTGTTGCTGAGGCTGGACTGTACTGCCGTGGTCTCGGCTCGCTGCAGCCTCCCTGTCCCGGGCTCCCGTGGTTCTCCTGCCTCGGCCTGACGAGTGCCTGGGATTGCAGGTACGCGCCGCCACGCCTGACTGGTTTTTGTATTTTTGGAGGAGACGGGGTTTCGCCCTGTTGACCGGGCTGGTCTCCAGCTCCTGACCTCGAGTGTTCTGCCCGCCTCGGCCTCCCGGGGTGCCGGGATTGCAGACGGAGTCTCGCTCACTCAATGCTCAGTGTTGCCCAGGCTGGAGTGCAGTGGCGTGATCTCGGCTCGCTACAACCTCCACCTCCCAGCCGCCTGCCTTGACCTCCCAAAGTGCTAAGATTACAGCCTCTGCCCGGCCGCCACACTGTCTGGGAAGTGGGGAGATCTCTGCCTGGCCACCCATCATCTGGGATGTGGGGAGCCCCTCTACCCAGCCGCCCCGTCTGGGAGGTGAGGAATGCCTAAGCCCGGCCGCCCCGTCTGGGAAGTGAGGTGCGCCTCTGCCTGGCCGCCTGTCGTCTGGGATGTGAGGAGCGCCGCTGCCCGGCCACCCATCGTCTGGGAAGTGAGGAGCGCTGCTGCCCGGCCACCCATCGTCTGGGAAGTGAGGAGCGCCTCTGCCCGGCCGCCCCGTCTGGGAAGTGAGGAGCGCCGCTGCCCGGCCACCCCGTCTGGGAAGTGAGGAGCGCCTCTGCCCGGCCGCCCATCGTCTGGGAAGTGAGGAGCGCTGCTGCCCGGCCACCCATCGTCTGGGAGGTGAGGAGCGCCTCTGCCCGGCCGCCCCGTCTAGGAAGTGAGGAGCGCCGCTGCCCGGCCACCCCGTCTGGGAAGTGAGGAGCGCCTCTGCCCGGCCGCCCATCGTCTGGGAAGTGAGGAGCGCTGCTGCCCGGCCACCCATCGTCTGGGAGGTGAGGAGCGCCTCTGCCCGGCCGCCCCGTCTGGGAAGTGAGGAGCGCCTCTGCCCGGCCGCCCCGTCTGGGAGGTGAGGAGCGCCTCTGCCCGGCCGCCCCGTCTGGGAGGTGAGGAGCGCCTCTGCCCGGCCGCCCCGTCTGGGAGGTGAGGAGCGCCGCTGCCCGGCCGCCCCGTCTGGGAGGTGAGGAGCGCCTCTGCCCGGCCGCCCCGTCTGGGAGGTGAGGAATGCCTAAGCCCGGCCGCCCCGTCTGGGAAGTGAGGTGCGCCTCTGCCCGGCTGCCCGTCGTCTGGGAAGTGAGGAGCGCTGCTGCCCGGCCACCCATCGTCTGGGATGTGAGGAGCGCCTCTGCCCGGCTGCCCCGTCTGGGAAGTGTACCCAACAGCTCCGAAGAGACAGCGACCATCAAGAACGGGCCATGATGACGATGGCGGTTTTGTTGAAAAGAAAAGGGGGAAATGTGGGGAAAAGAAAGAGAGATCAGACTGTTACTGTGTCTGTGTAGAAAGAAGTAGACATAGGAGACTCCATTTTGTTCTGTACTAAGAAAAATTCTTCTGCCTTGGGATGCTGTTAATCTATAACCTTACCCCCAACCCCATGCTCTCTGAAACACGTGCTGTGTCAACTCAGGGTTAAATGGATTAAGGGCGGTGCAAGATGTGCTTTGTTAAACAGACGCTAGAAGGCAGCATGCTCGTTAAGAGTCATCACCACTCCCTAATCTCAAGTACCCAGGGACACAAACACGGCAGAAAGCCGCAGGGACCTCTTCCTAGGAAAACCAGAGACCTTTGTTCATGTGTTTATCTGCTGACCTTCTCTCCACTATTGTCCTACGACCCTGCCACATCCCCCTCTCTGAGAAACACCCAAGAATGATCAATAAATACTAAAATATATATATATATATATATATATATATATATATATATATATATATTCTTTGGGCAATCATTATTCTAACCCTAGGTTAGTTTTTTATGAGTCTCTGAAGCATTTTCATTACAGCAGCAATCTGACAGGTTTTTCTGGACTGTAGTTTGAATCAAGTGTTTAAATGAACTTTCTGAAAAGTGCATACATCAGCAGGCAAAACAGTTGCTTATATGTAAGTTGCTGTTATTTCTCCCAAAGCTTAAGGTATATAGCATTAGTTTGCAGAGCTTTAAGAAAAGCACAGTTTTAATTTCTAGTAATTTCAAGTCAGGGAAAAAAAGGGGAGAAAAAGAAAAAAAAATTTTAATGTTAGTTTAGAGGTGTATAGCCAGGAAAAAGTTCAGGATCCAGTCTAAACTGTAGACAAATAATAAGATCTTAAAAATAACGAACAAAGGCTGGGCACCGTGGCTCATGCCTGTAATCCCAGCGCTTTGGGAGGCTGAGGTGGGTGGATCATCTGAGGTCAGGAGTTCGAGACCAGCCTGGCCAACATGGTGAAATCCTGTCTCTACTAAAACTACAAAAATTAGCCAGGTGTGGTGGCACGAACCTGTAATCCCAGCTACTTGGGAGGCTGCGACAGGAGAATCACTTGAACTCAGGAGGTGAAGGTTGCATGAGCCAAGATCGTGCCATTGCACTCCAGCCTGGGCGACAGAGCAAGACTCCATCTCAATAATAATAATAATCCTCCTCCTCCTCCTCAAAGGTAGAATCTAATAACAAGTGTACTATAGTTTCTTTTGAAACATATGTTTTTTTTTTAATCTCCAGTCCCCCATTTCTACAAAAAACGAATCATGTTAGGACCAATTTATTTGCAAAATATGTTTTAGTCTCATTATCCTTGGCCTGATTATTTGCATAAGGCACAGCAAGAATAATGATTGGGCTGTATAGGTTTCTTTTATTTTTTTAATTTTTAATAGTCACCTAGGCAAGAGTGAAGTGGCACAACCATGGCTCACTGCAGCCTCAACATCCTGGGCTCAAGCAATCCTCCCACCTCAGCCTCGAGTAGCTAGGACTATAGGCATGCGTCACCAGGCCCAGTTATTTTTTGTCGAGATGGGTCTTACTATATTACCCAGGCTGGTCTTGAACTCCTGGCCTCAGGCAGTCCTCCCATCTTAGCCTCCCAAAGCACTGGAATTAGAGGTGTGAGCCACCGTGACCAGACAAGGCCCCTTTTCAACTGGCTTTGCTGGAACTTTTCCTAAGGAATCTCAGATTAGACTTTTAAAAGCCTCTTGAGGTTAGCCAATCCAAGGTTTTATCTGTGCCCTCAGATACCTGTACAAATTGGGTACATTCCTCTCTTCTCAGGCCGGGCACAGTGGCTCATGCCTATAATCTCAGCAGTTTGGAAGCCCGAGGTGGGAGGATCACTTGAACCCAGGAGTTCAAGACCAGCATGGGCAACACAGGGAGACACCCTATCCACAAAAAAAAAAAAAAAAAAAATTAGCCGGGTGTGGTGGCACATGCCTGTGGTCCTAGCTACTTGGGGAGCTGAGGTAGGAGGATCACTTGAGTCCTGGAGGTTGAAGCTACAAGAACTGTGATCATGCCACTGCACTCCAGCCTGGGAGAAAGAGTGAGACCCCAACTCAAAAAAAAAAAAAAAAAAATTTCTCTTTTCTCAAGGTCTCAAAATAACTCAAGTTTCCCGGGCTCATTAGAAAGTGACATGGGTCAGGAACTTTGTAAAGGAATTGCATAGACAAGGTAATAGGCCAGTCTTTCCAATGGATTTTTATTAGCTCTGTAGAGTCAACCTCCATTCCTCAAAACTTTCTGGTCATATCTGAATATATACCATTCCAATTAAAGCCTTGGAAAAATAACCAGTGTCTCTAATTGTGTCCTGTTACACAAGAAAACAGATTCTTATTGAACTTATGCAAATAACCATGTTGCCATAAATTAATAACACTCACAATAGTTTCCAAATTCTGAAGAAATCAGCTAGAGGGAAAGAAATATGCTTTAAATATTGCTCAAAACAGTATACTTTACTTAATTTGTTGTGTGCTGTAAACAGTTCAAAAGAAAAAAGTTGGCTGGGCGTGGTGGCTCACATCTGTAATCCTAGCACTTTGGGAGGCCGAGGCAGGTGGATCACCTGAGGTCAGGAGTTCAAGACCAGCCTGGCCAACATGGTGAAACCCCATCTCTACTAAAAAATACAAAAATTAGCTGAGTGTGGTGGCACGCTCCTGTAATCCCAACTACTTTGGAGGCTGAGGCTGGAGAATCATTTGAACCTGGGAGGTGGAGGTTGCAGTGAGCTGAGATTGTGCCACTGCACTCCAGCCTGGGCAACAGAGCAAGACTCTGTCTCAAAAAAAAAAAAAAGTTTTCTGGACTGGAAAACAAAAGAATTAGCAATGTTTCAAACCCAAAAGTAAGAAAAAAATTTCAGTCCTCTATTAGTTTAGTCCCATGTAATTAACTCTTGTTCTGCTCGATATTGAGTTAGCAATCCTCATGAATGCATCAGCTTTTTTTGTTTGTTTGTTTTGATACAGGGTCTTGCTGTTGCCCTGGCTGCAGTGCAGTGGCATGAACACAGCTCACTGAAGCCTTGAACTCTCAGACTCAATGGATCCTTTCACCTCAGTCCCCCAAGTAGCTGGGACCACAGGTACATGCCACCATGCCTGGCTAATTTTTGTATTTTTTTTAGAGACAGGATTTCACCATGTTGCCCAGGCTGGTCTCGAACTCCTGTGGCTCAAGCAATCCACCGACCTCAGTCTCCCAAAGTGCTGGACTTATAGATGTTAACCACTGCTCCCAGCCTTGGCTTTTTAATTACAGCCCTGGAAGTTTTTTATAATCCAATGGTATGCTCTCTAAAGTTATCGGAAACCTGTATTTTTTTTTAAATTTTACTTTAAGTTCTAGGATACATGTACAGAATCTGCAGGTTTGTTACATAGGTATACGTGTGCCATGGTGATTTGCTGCACTTATCAACCTGTCATCTAGGTTTTAAGCCTCACATGCATTACGTATTTTTTCTAAAGCTCTCCCTCCCCTTGCCCCCGACCCCCCAACAGGCCCCACCTGGTGTGATTTCCCCTCCCTGTGTCCATGTGTTCTCATTGTTCAATTCCCACCTATGAGTGAGAGTATGTGGTGTTTGGTTTTCTGTCCTTGTGATAGTTTGCTGAGAATGATGGCTTCCAGCTTCATCCATGTCCCTGCAAAGGACATGAACTCATTCTTTTTTATGGCTGCATAGTGGTTCCATGGTATATATGTGCCACATTTTCTTTATCCAGTCCATCATTGATAGACATTTGGGTTGGTTCCAAGTCTTTGCTATTGTAAATACTGCTGCAATAAACATACGTGTGCATGTGTCTTTACAGTAGAATGATTTATAATCCTTTGAGTATATATCTACCCAGTAACGGGATTGCTGGGTCAAATGGTATTTTTGGTTCTATATCCTTGAGGAATTGCCACATTGTCTTCCACAATGGTTGAACTAATTTACACTTCCACCAACAGTGTAAAAGCGTTCCTATTTCTCCACAGCCTCACCAGCATCTGTTGTTTCCTGACTTTTTATTAATCGCCATTCTGACTGGCGTGAGATGGTATCTCATTGTGGTTTTGATTTGTATTTCTCTGATGGCCAGTGATGATGAGCATTTTTTCATGTGTCTGTTGGCTGCATAAATGTCTTCTTTTGAGAAGTGTCTGTTCATATCCTTTGCCCACTTATTGATGGGGTTGTTTAATTTTTTTCTTGTAAATTTGTTTAAGTTCTTTGTAGATTCTGGATATTAGCCCTTTGTCAGATGGGTAGCTTGCAAAAATTTTCTCCCATTCTGTAGGTCTCCTGTTCACTCTGATGATAGTTTCTTTTGCTGTGCAGAAGCTCTTTAGTTTAATTAGATCCCATTTGTCAATTTTGGCTTTTGTTGCAATTACTTTTGGTGTTTTAGTCATGAAGTCTTTGCCCATGCCTATGTCCTGAATGGTATTGCCTAGGTTATCTTCTAAGGTTTTTCTGTTGTGTTTTGAGATGGAGTTTCACTCTTGTTGCCCAGGCTGGAGTGCAATGGTGCAGTCTCAGCTCACTGCAACCTCCGCCTCCTGGGTTCAAGCAATTCTCATGCCTCAGCCTCCCAAGTAGCTGGGGCTACAGGCGCATGCCACCATGCCCAGCTAATTTTTGTATTTGTAGTAGAGACGGGGTTTCACCATGTTGGCCAGGCCAGTCTTGAACTCTTGACCTCAGGTGATCCACCCACCTCAGCCTCCCAAAATGCTGGGATTACAGGCGTGAACCACTGCGCCTGACCTCTTCTAGGGTTTTTATGGTTTGGGGTTTTACATTTAAGTCTTTAATCCATCTTGAGTTAATTTTTGTATAAGGTGTAAGGAAGGGGTCCAATTTCTGTTTTCTGCATATGGCTAGCCAGTTTTCCCAGCATCATTTATTAAATAGGAAATCCTTTCCCCATTGCTTGTTTTTGTCAGGTTTGTCAAAGATCAGATGGTTGTAGATGTGTGGCGCTATTTCTGAGGTCTCTGTTCTGTTCTGTTGGTCTATTTATCTGTTTTAGTACCAGTACCATACTGTTTTGGTTACTGTAGCCTTATAGTATAGTTTGAAGTCAGGTAGTGTGATGCCTCCAGCTTTGTTCTTTTTGCTTAGGATTATCTTGGCTATGTGGGCTCTTTTTTGGTTCCATATGAAGTTTAAAGTAGTTTTTTCTAGTTCTGCAAAGAAAGTCAATGATAGCTTGATGGGAATAGCATTGAATCTATAAATTATTTGGGACAGTATGGCCATTTTCATGATATCGATTCTTCCTATCCATGAGCATGGAATGTTTTTCTGTTTGTTTGTGTCCTCTCTTATTTCCTTGAGCAGTTCTTTGTAGTTCTCCTTGAAGAGGTCCTTCATTTCCTTTGTAAGTTGTATTCTTAGGTATTTTATTTTCTTTGTAGCAGCTGTGAATGGGAGTTCACTCATGATTTGGCTCTCTGCTTGTCTATTACTGGTGTATAGGAATGCTTGTGATTTTTTCACATTGATTTTGTATCCTGAGACTGCTGAAGTTGCTTATCAGCTTAAGGAGTTTTTGAGCTGAGAGACGATGGGGTTTTCTAAATATACAATCATGTTGTGTGCAAACAGAAAAAATTGTACTTCCTTTCTTCCTATTTGAATACCCATTATTTCTTTCTCTTGCCTGATTGCACTGGCCAGAACTTCCAATACTATGTTGAATAGGAGTGGTGATAGAGGGCATCCTTATCTTGTGCCGGTTTTCAAACGGAATGCTTCCAGCTTTTGCCCATTCAGCATGATATTGACTATGGGTTTGTCATAAATAGTTCCTATTATTTTGAGATATGTTCCATCAAAATCCTAGTTTATTGAGAGTTTTTAGCATGAAGGGATGTTGAATTTTATTGAAGGTCTTTTCTGCATCTATTTAGATAATCATGTGGTTTTTGTCATTGGTTCTGTTTATATGATGAATTATGTTTATTGATTTGTGTATGTTGAACCAGCCTTGCATCCCAGGGATGAAGCTGACTTGATCATGGTGGATAAGCTTTTTGATGTGGTGCTGGACTCGGTTTACCAGTATTTTATTGAGGATTTTCGCATCGATGTTCATCAGGAATATTGGCCTGAAATTTTCTTTTTTTTGTTGTGTCTTTGCCAGGTTTTGGTATAAGGATGATGCTGGCCTCATAAAATGAGCTAGGGAGGAGTCCATCTTTTTCTGTTGTTTGGAATAGTTTCAGAAGGAATGGTACCAGCTCCTCTTTATACCTCTGGTAGAATTCGGCTGTGAATCCATCTGGTCCTGGGCTTTTTTTCATTGGTAGGCTACTAATTACTGCCTCAATTTCAGAACTTGTTATTGGTCTATTCAGGGACTCAACTTCTTGCTGGTTTAGTCTTGGGAGGGTGTATGTGTCCAGGAATTTATCCATTTCTTCTACATTTTCTAGTTTACTGGCTTAGAGGTGTTTATAGTATTCTCTGATGGTAGTTTGTATTTCTGTGGGATCAGTGGTGATATCCCCTTTATCATTTTTTATTGTGTCTATTTGATTTTCTCTCTTTTCTTCTTTACTAGTCTAGCTAGCGGTTCATCTATTTTGTTAATCTTCTCATAAAACCAGCTCCTGGATTGATTGATTTTTTGAAGGGTTTTTTGTGTCTCCATCTCCTTCAGTTCTGCTCTGATCTTAGTTTTTCTAGTCTTCTGCTAGCTTTTGAATTTGTTTGCTCTTGCTTCTCTAGTTCTTTTAATTGTGATGTTAGGGTATCGATTCTAGATCTTTCCAGCTTTCTGATGTGGGCATTTAGTGCTATAAATTTCCCTCTTAACACTGCTTTAGCTGTGTCCTAGAGATTCTGGTATGTTGTCTCTTTGTTCTCATTGGTTTCAAAGAACTTCTTTATTTCTGCCTTCATTTCATTATTTATCCAGTAGTCATTCAGGAGCAGTTGTTCAATTTCCATGTAGTAGTGTGGTTTTGAATGTGTTTCTTAATCCTGAGTTCTAATTTGATGCACTGTGGTCAGAGAGACTGTTATGATTTCTGTTCTTTTGCATTTGCTGAGGAGTGTTTTCCTTCCAATTATGTGGTCATTTTAGAATAAATGCTATGTGGCACTGAGAAGAATGTATATTCTGTTGATTTGGGGTGGAGAGTTCTGTAGATGTCTATTAGGTCCACTTGGTCCACAGCTGAGTTCAAGTCCTGAATATCCTTGTCAGTTTTCTGTCTTGTTGATCTGTCTAACATATTGGCAGTGGGATGTTAAAGTCTTCCACTATTATTGTGCGGAAGTCTAAGTCTCTTTGTAGGTCTCTGAAAACTTGTTTTATGAATCTGGTTGCATATATATTTAGGATAGTTAGCTCTTGTTGCATTGATCCCTTTACCATTATGTAATGCCCTTCTTTATCTTTTTTGATCGTTGTTGGTTTAAAGTCCATTTTATCAGAGACTAGGATTGCAACTCCTGCTTTTTTTAAATTTTCATTTGCTTGGTAAATATTCTCCATCCGTTTATTTTGAGCCTATGTGTGTCTTTGCATGTGAGTTGGGTCTCCTAAATACAGCACACCAATGGGTCTTGACTCTTTATCCAATTTTCCAGTCTGCGCCTTTTAATTGGGACATTTAGCCCATTTACATTTAAGGTTAATATTGTTATGTGTGAATTTGATCCTGTCATCATGACGCTAGCTGATTATTTTGCACATTCATTGATGCAGTTTCTTCATAGTGTCATTGGTCTTTATATTTTGGTGTGTTTCTGCAGTGGCTGGCACCAGTTTTTTCTTTCCATATTTAGTGCTTCCTTCAGGAGCTCTTGTAAGGCAGGCCTGGTGGTGACAAAATCCCTCAGCATTTGTTTGTCTGGAAAGGGTTTTAGTTCTCCTTTGCTTATAAAGCTTAGTTTGGCTGGATATGAAATTCTGGGTTGAAAATTCTTTTCTTTAAGAATGTTGAATATTGCCCCCCACTTTCTTCTGGCTTGTAGGGTTTCTGCCGAGAGATCCACTGTTAGTCTGATAGGCTTCCCTTTGTAGGTAACCTGACCTTTCTCTCTGGCTGCCCTTAACATTTTTTCCTTCATTTCAACCTTGGAGAATCTGACGATTATGTGTCTTGGGGTTGCTCTTCTCAAGGACCGTCCTAGTGATATTCTTTGTATTTCCTGAATTTGAATGTTGGCCTGTCTTGCTAGGTTGGGAAAGTTCTCCTGGATAATATCCTGAAGTGTGTCTTCCATTCTCCCTGTCACTTTCAGGAACTCCAATCAATCATAGGTTTGATCTTTTCACATAGTACTATATTTCTTGGAGGCTTTGTTTATTCCTTTTCGTTCCTTTTTCTCTAATCATGTCTTCATGCCTTATTTCAGTAAGTTGATCTTCAGTCTCTGATATCCTTTCTTCTGCTTGATCGATTCGGCTATTGATACTTGTGTATGCTTCACAAAGTTCTCATGCCATGTTTTTCAGCTCCATCAGGTCATTAATGTTCCTCTCTAAAGTGGTTATTCTACTTAGCAGTTCCTTTTACCAAGGTTCTTAGCTTCCTTGCATTGGTTAGGACATGATCCTTTAGCTCTGAGGAGTTTGTTATTACCCACCTTCTGAAGCCTGCTTCTGTCAATTCATCAATCTCATTCTCTGTCCAGTTTTGTGCCCTTGCTGGACAGGAGTTGCAATCATTTGAAGGACAAGAGGCATTCTGATTTTTGGAATTTTCAGCATTTTTGCACTGGTTTTTCCTCATCTTTCTAGATTTATCTACCTTTGATCTTTGAGACTGATGACCTTTTGATGGGGTTTTTGTGTGGGGGTCCTTTATGTTGATGTTGATGTTGTTGCTTTCTGTTTGTTAGTTTTTCTTCTAACAGTCAGGCCCCTCTTCTGCAGGTCTGCTGCAGTTTGCTAGAGGTCCACTCCAGACCCTGTTTGCCTGGGTATCACCAGTGGAGGCTGCAGAACAGCAAAGATAGCTGCCTGCTCCTTCCTCTGGAAGCTTTGTCCCACAGCCTGATGCCGGCTGTAGCTCTTCTGTATGAGGTGTCTGTCAACCCCTGTTGGGAGGTCTCTCTCAGTCAGTAGGCACGGGGATCAGGGACCCACTTGAGGAGGCAGTCTGTCCCCTAGCAGAGCTGGTGCACTATGCTGGGAGAATCCCTCTCATCAGGATCAGCTGCTCTCCTCAGAGCTGGCAGGCAGGAACGATTAAATCTGCTGAAGCTGCACCCACAGCCACCCGTTCCCTCAGGTGCTCTGTCCTAGGGAGATGGAGGTTTTGTCTGTAAGCCCCTGACTGGGGCTGTTACCTTTCCCCTGAGATGCCCTACCTAGTGAGGAGGAATCTAGAGAAGCAGTCTGGCCACAGCTGCTTTGCTGCAACCAGCCCAGACTTCCCAGCCTCCTTAGCACTGTCAGGGGAAAACCGCCTACTAAAGCCTCAGTGATGGCAGATGCCCCTCCCCACAGCAAGCTCAGTTGTCCCAGGTCGACCTCAGACTGCTGTGCTGGGAGCGAGAATTTCAAGCCAGTGGTTCTTAGCCTGCTGGGCTCCGTGGGAGTGGGACCCACTGAGCGAGACCACATGGCTCCCTGGCTTCAGCCCCCTTTCCAGAGCAGTGGACAGTTCTGTCTTGCTGGGGTTCCAGATGCCACTGGGATAGGAAAAACAAACTCCTGCAGCTAGCTTGGCGTCTGCCCAAACAGCCACTTGTGTTTTCTGCTTGAAATCCCAGGCCCTGTTGGTGTAGGCACACGAAGGAATCTCCTGATCTGCAGATTATACAAACCATGGGAAAAGTGTAGTAACCTGTCCCAGGTAGCACAGTCCCTCATGGCTTCCCTTGGCTTGAGGAGGGAGGTCCCCCAGCTCCTTGCACTTCCTGGGCAAAGTGACACCCCACCCTGCTTCTGCTCGCCTTCTGTGGGTTGGACCCACTGCCTAACCAGTCCCAGTGAGATGAACTGGGTACCTCAGTTGGAAATGCAGAAATCACCTGCCTTCTGCGTTGGTCTTTCTGGGAGCTGCAGACTGGAGCTGTTCCTATTGGGCCATCTTGGCCCCCTTCAGAAACCTGTATTTAAGAATACTTGTCAGAGTCTTTTCCATGAATTTCCATATAGAAGCAAATTTTGGTCTACAGCTGATTATGAACCTCTTTTTGAGAAGAATCAAAAAGTAAAACAATAATTGTCTGTGGATGGCAACAGTCTTAGATCAGCCATGGTTAAAGACACAATTGGCAAGAAAATTTGATTACTTCTGTAACAGAAAAAAATTTAACATAATAATTATAATTATTACTAATAACATACATTAAGACATCAGAATTATATGTATCTCATACAATTTTGGAAGACATATTAATAACACCCATAAAATATAATCCAAGGAAAGGCAAACACTGTTTCATATTTGACAAGGCTTTCTCTAGGATTTTAACATACCAAATAAACCCAATACGTCTCTCTTGGACTTTCAGGGACATTAATATCTAAAAGGTTAGTTTAAGGTCAAAAAGACTAAATTTAGAACTTGAAGCTTTGATTTTGAAAAGTTTGTCTAATATCAAAGGTTCAAAACACTTGATATCATAAAATAGGATGACAGATTACTGTAAACTAAGTCATTCACTTAGCCAAAGTGATAATTCACAAATTTACACTTCCCATTGCCCACCCCTCATGCCTTCCACCCTGAGATTTAACAATAGTGATGGTGGCAGGAGGCAGACAGGTACCTAGGTGGGAAGGGGTGGGTCCCTGGTGAGGCCCAACCTTCAAACCAGGGATGGCCTGAAGCCTGGAGGCCAAGCTGCCAGTTCCAGGTGGAGTCCCTGACTGGGAGTAAGAATTTCCTTGATGCCTTTCAGCCAGTTGATGGTGACTGGTTTTTTGGACCTACCCTTGAACCAATCAGCATGCACTTCCTCCCACTCATGGACCAATCAGCATGCACTTCCTCCATTCTGCACCTATAATAACCCCTAGACTCAGCAGGACTCAGACACACATTGGGATTACCTTCCTGCAGGTAGGAGCTACCCACTTTGGGTCTCCTCTCTGCTGAGAGCTGTTCTGTTGCTCAATAAAGCTCTTCTCCATCCTCACCCTCCAGTTGCCTGAGTAACCTCATTCTTCCTGGACTTGCGATAACAACTCAGGACCTGCGAACAGAGTGCACAAAAAGGGCTGTAACACTTTCCTGGCCAGCTCACTGAGCTGCAGGTCGTGATATGCTTCCCTGTTCACCAAACTGTGGGAGTGAAGAGTGGTGACCCTTCTGGGGACGCAGACCTCAGAATTCCCAAGCCAGAGCTGTAACACTATAGCCCTCCCGCCCTCCACCAGTGCTGGGCGGCTGCCAGATGTGACAGGAAGCAGTGGCGGGGCAGGCCAGCCCAGGAGCTGTGGGCTGGAGTTGGGGTGATGGGATTGAACAAGCCGTAACACAAATGGGCTGAAACACATTGCCTCCCACCGCTGTTTGCCATGCTGTCGCGCTGCGGGTGGTGGGAATGAGAGAGCTGTAACATGCACCCCCAACCCGTAGAGGATCTGCAGTTGCTGGCATCTCCAGGTTTTCAGGAGCCACCACATTCCCTTCATCCAGATGCTGGCAACTGCAGGAGAAGCCGCTTGTAGTATGCCTGCTCCAGCCGCAGCCTTGCATGGAGCCAGTGCCTATGCCGGTGCCTGGAGCCGTCCGCCCTGCTGCGGCAGTTGGCGTGCCTGGCTGTGTGCAGGGGCCACACTCCGCACTTGCTCACTCACACACCCTTCGCCTTTCTGCATCTGGCTTGCCCTCGGCAGGCATGGGATCTGGGCTGGTAGTGCAAGCTGGGCACAGCCTGCCAGGCTGAATGGGTGGAATGAACCCAGTGGGCGTGAGCAATATTCAAGTAGAGGCGCTGCCGGCCATGAGGTTTCTAGCTGGTGAAGCGACACCCAGAGGATCCTGTGACAATAGGATTTCTGAAATCTGCATTGGCTTGTGTACAATTTGGGCACTGTATGAGTCAATTGGGGGAAACAGTTTTTGAACAGGAGCTGCAGGGAATTAGAAAAATCTAAGGCAGACTGACAGAAAAGTCTTCAAAGGGAGACAAAAACAGGCTTTTCCTACTGATGAAATGGGACCTACTGTCGATGACTGCTACAGAGTTACTCTAGAAGAATTCAGAGGAAGATGTGAGGAGTTCACTCTGGAGCCACAGTGGCCGGTAGAGGCTGGAAAGAAGAGAGAAAGGAACTTACTGTCATTGCAATGACAATGACAATAAGATCTGAGCAAGAAGGACAGTAGGGAGAAGCTGGGAACAAAGACAGGAGGGCTTGGGATGTGCTTAAAGGAGAACACTTGGTTTATTTTCCCTGGGTTGGAGGGCTTAGGTATATTTTTGTCTTATAAGGTCCACAGTTAGATTTTCTTAAGGCACAGGGGAGCCATTGAGGGTTAGGGAGCTGGAGAGTGGTGTGATGAAAGGTATGTTTGCATAGCTTCTATAAGTAAATGTTTCTTTCCACTGGTTTCAGTGACAAGGCACCAGCTCTCCCGATACTGTGGTTCCCGCAGGAGTCCCCTATGCCTATGTAGGCACCACCCACTGTGACAGGAGATGCCCTTCCTGCCCACAGTGTCTGCCTGCATTTTGAGACTTTCTGCTTCCCCAGGGTGAGTGAGGAAGCTGGCAACAAGCCTCACTCAACGAGAGGAAACTTGAGGCCAGCTGGGCACTTGAGGGAAGGAGACCAGCAGTGGAACACAAGTCGGGGTCCCAGGATCCCTGGGCTTTACCTGACACTTCCACATTCCAACTGTGGGGTCCATAAGCAAGCCCTGCACCTTCTCAGTCTCAAGATCCACTGACAGCCATGCCATCCTCTCCCTGTCACCAAAGCAGTCTGGCCTTCCAGCTGGCCTCCAGATGCAAAGGCAGAGTCTGATGGAGACTTGGTGTCCTGAGAACTCCAGAATGGGCTGTCAGTGCTCTAATTTTTCAGGTATGTCTATTCCCATAATTTGAAAACAGTGATAACAATAATAATACCATCTATGGGGCACTTTCTACATGCAAGGCACTCCACTAAGCCCGTTAAGAATGCTATTTCAATCCTTATGATACACGTATGGTGTAGGAACCGTGATGCCACTTTTGTGGCTGAGGAAGCTGAGAGTAATAAAAGTTAATGGACTTGTCCAAAAGAATTCTTCTAACTCTAGAATTCAAACCCTCAATTCATGTGGCAGTAATTCTAAAGGGTCACCCATTGCATTTGCATGTCAGCCCCATCCTGTGAAAGTACAGATTCCCAAGGCTTCCCTGCAGACAGACTGAATTGGCCTGTCTCGGGCTGGGGCCTGAGAGAGCCTGCACTTTTAGCCACTGCACCACCACTTTCCACCTCCCCTACACTGCCGGGACAGATCGTATTTTCCCAAGATGGACACATCTATACATTTATTCCATGCCACCTGCTCTTCTTGCAATGTGATTAACCTTCCTCTTCCTGAAAGGTGGGGTCTAGTTTCCCTCCCCATCAATCTGGATGGAAGCTTGTGGCTTCTCCAAGCAGTGAAGTGTGGTGGGAGTGATTCTAGGTGACTTCTAAGGTTAGCTCAAGAGGATACAGCTTCTGCCTGGTGTTTCCTCCCTCTTTCCCTCAATTTCTCTCTCCCTCCCTCCCTCCCATTTCTTATTTTTTAATGTATTAATTTAACTTTTATTGAAGTATCGTATATGTGTATTACATGTAATAGTATACACACACACACAGAAAAACGTGCAAATGTCATAAGGGTACATCTTGATAAATTTTCTTTTCTTTTCCTTTTTTTTTTTTTTTTTTTTTTTTTTGAGACAGAGTTTTGCTCTTGTTGCCCAGGCTGGAGTGCACTGGTGCGTTCTTGGCTCATTGCAACCTCTGCCTCCTGGGTTCAAGCGATCCTCTTGCCTCAGCCTCCTGAGTAACTGGGATTACAGGTGCCTGCCACCACACCTGGCTAATTTTTTTGTATTTTTAGTAGAGATGTGGCTTTACCATATTGGCCAGGCTGGTCTCAAACTCCTGACTTCAGGTAATCCACCCACCTTGGCCTCCCAAAGTGCTGCAATTACAGGCATGAGCCACTGCGCCTGGCCCTTGAAAAATTTTCACAACCTCAACTCACTTGTGTAACCAGCACCAAATCAAGAAATATACAAAAAAGCCAGCATCGCAAACTCAACAACAACAAAAAACCTGATTCGAAAATGAGCGAAGGACTTTTGTAGACCTTTCTCCAAAGAAGGTATACAAATGGCCAATAAGCATTTGAAAAGATGCTCTGCATCACTAATCATTAGGGAAATGCAAATCAAAACTATAGCAAGATACCACTTCACACTCATTAGGATGGCTACTTTAAAAAAAAAAAGCGTGCGCACGCACACACACACACACACAGAAAATAACACATCTTGTGAGGATATGGAGAAATTGGAACCTTTGTGCACTGTTTGTGGGAATGTAAAATGGCATAGCTGTGGAGGAAAGCAGTATAGTGGTTCCTTAAAACATTAAAAATAGAATTACCATATAAGCTAGTAATTATACTTCTGGGTATATACTCAAAAGAATTGAAAGCAGGGTTTCAAAGAGATATTTGTACACTTTTGTTCATAGCAATAGCTAAAACATGGAAAAATCGAATTATCCATCAGTGGATGAATGGATAAGCAAAATGTGGTGTATCTATACAATGGGATATTACTCACCTTAGAAATTCTGTAATATGCTATGCTAAAACTTGAAGATATTATGCTAAGTGAAATAAGCCAGTCACAAAAAGAAAAATACCATATGATTCCACTTATATGGAATCTACGTACTTAGTCAAAATAAAGACAAAAAGTAGAATGCTGGTTGTTAGGGACTGAGGGAAGAAGGGAATGGAGAGTTAATGTGGCTGGCACAGGAGCCCACCATCAGGAGCTCTGGGTTCTGGGAACTGCTCTGCTCAGACTGTTTGAGACTTCAAGACCCTTCCACAATCTGGACCTAGTTCCTTTAGGGGAATGCAGCCTGTTTCAGAATATGCAGTATTGCACAGAATCACCTGGGTTATGGCCCCTTCATGGCGTCTCTACAAAAATATCTATATATATAAAAATCACTCAAGCATGGTGGTGCACCTCTGTGGTCCCAGCTACTCAGGAGGCTGAGGTGGGAGGATAGCTTGAGCCAAGGAAGTCGAGGCTGCACTGAGCCAAAATCGCATCACTACACTCCAGCGTGGTTAACAGAGTGAGACCCTGTCTCAAAAAAAATAAAAATAAAAATAAATCACTATTGCAATCACAGTTTTGTAGATGGCAGCATAGGGCATGACTCATCCCTGTGTGCTCAGGGTCTCAGGAGCTCCAAACCCCAAGGAAGTGCAGCCATTCTGCTAAATCACTCCAGGAATCAACCCCTGGGCGTCTTCTGAAGCACATGTCTACACCGGGGAAGAAAACCTCCTCCATAACACTAAATGCTGAAGGTAACATGAGAAGGACTTGGATAAATTTATTGCACTTCAACTACTGGAGAGCTATTTAGGCAGCACAGCTGCCATGGGCTGCAGCCTACCCGTGCCCCACAGCTTAGCCAAAAGAACCTGGCATCAAGAATAAATGTCATGTAGCAAAGGAGCCTCTATGGAGTTGGACATCACAATTTCCAGTCATGCTTTCTGCCCTCACTATGGGGAGGGCAAAGAACTTGTGAGCTAGATTGAAAGCTCCATCCTTGGTAGGAAACTGGAAGGCCAGGTTAGAGTGTGGGTCCCGATTTCCCAGAACTGAGCTGGTGTTTCCAAGGGACCTCCCTCATCCCTGGGCAACAGGACAGCTGGTCAGCATAGTGGCTATAGGTGCTTGGGTGAGAGAGGTGGCAAGTGGTTAGGAGGTGGCTGCTAGAAGAATGAAGGATTGGGGCAGACAGCTAGCTGCTCATCACAATAATCTGAGGGCTTTAAAACTGCTGATATTCACTCAGCCCCACAAAACAGTAGCAAGAGCTGGGGAAGTGAGGTCCAAGAGGCAGTAACTTTGATGAAACTACCAATGAGTCTCATGTGCAGCCAGGATGACAGCACATGGTAAGAACAGCAACAGTGGCTATCAACACCAGTGGTCGTCAGCACCAGTGACTGTCAGCACCAGTGACCATCAGCACCAGTGGCCATCAGCACCAGTGATCATCAGCACCAGTGGCCATCAGCACCAGTGATCATCAGCACCAGTGGCCATCAGCACCATGGCCATCAGCACCAGTGGGTCATCAGTACCATGGCCATCAGCACCAGTGGCCCGCATGGGAGGGGTTCTCACATGGGGCTTCTGCCTGGCTACCTGGTGAGATTCTCCAGGGCTGAGTGTTTTCAGAGGACCTAGTTGTTACGGATCATCCTGCATCTGCCCTTCCTGGCACATTAATGATCACAGTCAGCATGCAGCACAAAGCCAGGTGAAGCTTTCCGGTAAGGAGGGTCGCAGGCAGCCAGTGGCTCCACCTTCGTGTGCAGACACCACGTGTTCTCAATGATCAACACACAGTCACTAGGGACATGAACACATTGTGGCATAAACCGTGTCCGGGTGTGAATGTCCACAGACTCCAATGTCCCTGTATACACTCAGGTGCACAGCCCCTTCCAGCTCCAAGTGGCAGGTGCCAGGAATCTCAGGTAAAAATGTGGGCCTTTGGTGCTGAGCTGAAGCAGGAATTCTCCACTGTTCTGGGTGTCCTAGACCAGAAGTAAAGGGAGACTTCCACCTTACACCAGTGCGCCTTGCATATGGCAACTGCTCTTCAAGGGACAACTGAGTGAAGGACTCAGAGCCCCAGTTGGAACTCAGAGGGCACCCAGGGCCTCGACCCTCCTCCCTGACAACCTCACCCCCAGCTCAGTCCTTGGCATCCCGCCAAGGTGCCTCCATGATACCTTGGACTTCTAGGAGCAAGAGTGAAATGGGATTCAGTGAGTTTTATTCTGGGACCTTCCTGACCTTCTGGAGGGTCTCCGTGGAGAAGTGACTCCTAATATCTTTGAATTCTAAGATAGTCATTTTTGAGAGCTAGGTAAGTACTATGACCTCTCCTTACAGAAAGATGAATACGCTTTCAGGAACTCAGTGGTCTCTATGGAGCCCATCTGTGGGTCTCACATCAAGAAACTTCCAGAGACAGATCTGACTCTGAAGACTGCAGGGCACTGCAAGAACTCGATGGGTACCTGAGGCCAGAAACTGGCAGAGCTCGCGGAGGAAGCCACCAGCCCCTGGCCCGGCCTCCCTCTTGGCTGTTCCTCCCCCGGGCCCTACCGGGCTGTGCGTTTGATAGGCAGCTGGAAGACCCAGGTGGGCGGTTCAATCGGTCACGTGGACACGCAGCTCAGCCAATTAGAATCTCGCGGCAGTTGATTCCTAGAGGTGGAATCCATTAAACTGACAAAGCCCCAGTCCCGGGGTCCTAATAGTCGGGACTATTAGGTCATCCTGGGTACTCAGGCCTCTAGACTCTAGACTGAGCTGCCTTGGTCACTCGGGGACAGTTGGCAGAGTATTCGTGGTCAGGGAGGTGACCCGTGGTCAGCAGGATCAGGCCACCCAGGGACAAAGGGTGCTTCTGCGCCAGGCCCTGGAGAAGGACAGAGCGGTGGGGACTCGGGGTCGGCCGCAGATAGGGGAGTCACCACCTGCCGGGTAAGAGGGGATTCATCACAGGGGCCGAGGCAGGACGAGCGCCTCCTCCCAGCTCAGGCCGGGTCCCAGGCTGGACTCCTCCCTGTCCCCCAGGGCCGGCCTCCTTCAGAGCTGGCTCGGGACAAGCCTGGGATGGAAAGGGGAAGTAGAAAGAGCTCAGGGCACAGGGATTGGGGCCGATCCTGGGGTCTGAGCTGTGGGGTGAGGAGGGGATCGCCTGTCCCCTGGGGAGTGACGATGTCACCCAGCCGTGGCCGATGCTGGAGGTCATGATCTGAACCTTGACAGGTAACCCCAGGGCTGCCTTCCTGTTCTTCCCCTGGGCTGTCAGGGGACACCCTGCTCTGTTTTGTTTTTAAGTGACCAGAGACAGACACGTAACATAGAAAACGCTATCACTTTGATCATTTGTTTCAAATGGAAGAAAAACCGACACAAGTGGGTTTCTGGTGGGAAGCGCTTCCCTCCAACTCCAGGAACTCCATCAAGGAGTTAAGAAAGCACAGAGTCCTGTCAGCAGCCAGAGACATGCTGGGCAGTGGTGACCTCGGAGCCACCCCGCGACATGGAGATCTCGAGCTCCGCCCTCCGTGCAGGGAGATTCCTTTTGGAAAAAATCTCTGGCAGAGTGGGAGGGTGTAGGGGCCAGCCACATACATGCTTGCTGCTAGGACCCCTTAGCCATGGGCAGGGTGGGCACAGTGACCAGGGCCAGGAAACTTACAGGCCCACCAAAGAGTGTCAATTTCAGTCAGAAGAAAAAAAATTGAACTATATGATATTAATATATTTATCATTATACCAGTAACTCATAAAATAAAACTTCAAACTTTTTTTATTTTTTGAGACAGAGTCTTGCTGTGTTGCCAGGCTGGAGTGCAGTGGCTCCATCTCGGCTAACTGCAACCTCCTCCTCCCAGGTTCAAGCCATTCTTCTGCCTCAGCCTCCCGAGTAGCTGGGACTACAGCCACCCACCACCACGCCTGGCTACTTCTTTGTATTTTAGTAGAAACAGGGTTTCACCGTGTTGGTCAAGATGGTCTCGATCTCCTGACCTCGTAACCTGCCCGCCTTGGCCTCCCGAAGTGCTGGGATTACAGGTGTGAGCCACCGCACCCAGCAAACTTCAAACTTTTTAATGGAACAAGGACACACAGACATTAATCCCCAGTGTCCATCAAAGTTGCAATGCAGCCCTAACGCCTGGCATCCTTGAAAGGGACGGGCATTTAGTAATGAGATATGCACAGCAGCATAGTCAGCTGTGTGGTGCATTCTCAGCTGTGCCTCAGCAGCCCTGATGCAGACATCCAGAAGGAGCACAGCCACTTTATCCAGAGGTGAAGTTTTGCAGCAAGACAGCATTCATAGGGGGAGTTCTCAACAAATGTCAGTCCCCAAAAAGGGAACTGGCTTTATTATGGTCCTTAGGATATTCACTCGTAGAGAACAGGACCTGACAGACAAAGCAAAGAACGAATACTAAGATTAGAAGTATTTGGCACATTTGGGATGAGAAGGAGGCACAATGGGAAAGTGTTGAGTTGAAATCAAACTTGGGTTAAATGTGTTCAGTTTTGCCCAGGATCATTCTTGGCCACAGGACTCAGTTTGCTGAGCAGGTACACAACACACAAGGATACAAGCAGCCATTGCACACAGACACACCCACATCAGACACAACCTGCTCCCCTCTCCTCCCTGCACCAACAGGCGCATGTGGCAGGGGTCCTGGTGGAGCTCTTCCAGGAGAAGTGTCTGGGGACCCTCATGGGAAGGGAACTCCGTGTCAAGGCACCCCCTTTCCTCAGCCACAGTGAGCTCTTGGGAGCTGGGCAATGGTGTGGGAGAGGTTGTGGGGGGTAGCAAAGCAGGGGAACCAGCCTGGAATTGTCTCAGAGAAAGACCAGGCCACTAAGAGTGCAGATGGAGACATGAGACATCCGAGGGAGGGAGGAGAGGGGACCCCCTCGTGAAATTGGGGCTCACGTAAACCTGCATCAAGCACTGTGGCAGTGTTCAATCAGAAATGCTGCCCAGTACCCAGGTGGGGCACATACATGCTCAACACGTGAAAAATATCTGTTCTGATTTGTGCTTCAGAAGAAGAGTTAATGTCTCCTTCATCTTTCTCTCTAGCAATCAGCCATGACTGCCTTTGCACTGTCCATGCTCTCAGCCCACCACCTCCTCCCCCTGCCATTGCAGTGGCTAACACTGGAGACGAAGACCAAGACACCACCGCCTTTCTCCAGTACCACTCAAATCAGCACAGGCAAGGACAAAGGCCTCAATCCACAACTGCTGAAGATGGACCCTGGCCACATGGGATGGTCAGACACGCCTGCCCAGCTATCTGCAGGCGAAGAGGCTCAGAAGAGGTTTAGGGGCCTGAAGGACATCTTGCTTCCATGTCCATATGAGCAGGCTATTTCTGCTCCATGAGTCAATTTTGCCATATAAAATACTTAATTTCAGCCATTCCAGGGTGCTGTAGGATGCACAGCTTCCCATCAGCCCACCTGAACTCCAGCCATGCCATTTTAATACCAGGAATAAGGTCACCTGCTTTCCTGCCCCTTAGGAGGCCAGAGCCGTGGAAGCAAAATGGCACTTCTGTTTACCTGTTATATTATTTTTTTGTCATCCTTATATGCTTGGAAAATGCAATTATATGAAAAAAGTTTAGTAATTACAGACATAACAGCAGAAAGTCCTCGGAACCAAGCTTACTCTCATGGCCGATTCTGCTCCACCTGGGACTCTGCTGTGCTGCGGGCATCCTGTGGTCAGAATCGCAGAGGGGCCATCAGGGAGGGCCTTCCCAGAGGATGGACCTCACGTGACTGCTGCGTGGGCAAGTGGCACTGGCCACTCTGCCTGGAGAGAGGAGTAAATGCAGGGCTGGCCAGGCGACCTGCACACTCTGCTACTGGCCTTGTCCATCTTTAGCCTCTAATTTGAAAATGAGGCTCACACAGACCAAGAGTATCTTTGAGGGTTAGTACAGACCACAGAAATGCCCTGGGCCTTTCACTCTCTCCTTTTGCAAATTCCCATGTGTGGAAATGCCGTTTGGATAATGAGGGAGCCTGAAGGAGGTGGACACATGAGCAGCCCCGACAGGCCTGGCTCCATCCTCTGAAAATGGGGCCCCGTGCCCGGCGTGTGGCCTTACTGGTTCAGTCTTCTTTACAGTGGTAGGTTTTGAGTGCCCAGATGCCCAGTGCCTCCTACCTGGAACAGCACAGGATCTGGCAGACCCCTGGAAGAATCACATGCACACTTAAATATTCAGGGAGTTCCCACCCAGCAGAGCTCGCCTCTGTGGCTACCTTGGTCTTGCTGCTGATATCTGCCAGAAAAGGCCTGGACTTGGAGACAAGCCTGGGATTTACACTCAGTCCTTCCCCATCTGGCTGGTTCCATTTCCTTGGCTCTCACTGCTGGAAGTCTGTGCTCCTGAACATCAAGTCAGAGGGGGCATCTGAATGCAGGGCAGGGAGCCTCAGATGGGAAGAAGTCAGAGGAACCAGAATGTGTCAGAAAATGCCAAGTCATGTGCCTGAGCTCAAAAGTCAGCTGGGCCACAGGCTGGCTGTGTGATCTTGGGCAAGTTCAACCAGCTTCTTTATACCTCTTTTCTTGCCTCAAAATGATAAGAGAAACCACTTCACTAATACACTGAGGGCTGCTATTAAGTTCTATGTACAAAGACCCATGGCAGGCCCTATGCCCTTCGGTGAGCACTACTCCTCCTTACAATTTACTGCCAGGAACACTGGGCAAGAGAACTTCAGTGGAGCAGGGATTGGCTGAGCATGAGCCAGGGTTGGGGGAAGTAAATAATGGGCTGTTGCCAGGGCCTGAGCCCAACAGAGAAAGGCTGTGTGCAGAGGGAGGGCCTCAGGTCCTGGGGCTCCTCCTGGCCTCTTTCGTCCCGACTACTTCACACCCTCCTCTAACAACGACTCCCACCTCCTTTTCCAGCTCTCCTTGATCCTGCTCAGGGTGGCGCCTGCTGTCCCTGGTCCCTTGGTCCCCACCTGCCTCAGTGCCCCCCAGTCACATCTGCTGTTTCTGCCATGGGTCAGCAGACAGGGTAGGGGTGACTGGTGGTGCAGAAGAAACCATCTGAGAGGGGGACCCCAACACGGACAGGGCACAGACGGGGCTTCCACCAATCTCAGTGGATGAAGATTCTGTCCCTGCCATCCCCGCATTCTCTCCCTGGTCTCAGAGGCCCTCCTGGGTCTCCAGTTGTCCTCTCTCCCACCTCCACACTTTCTTGTTCCAGTCCTGCTCTTGGATTTCTTTAATAATTTTCCTACCTCCAAGATCCCCTGATGATCAGTTTCTGCCTGGGGTCACCAGGCGACTGACCATGGTGGGGATGGTGACTTGAGACTCCTGGACCACAGTGCAGGTGACATATGCAACCTACAGAGTGAAAAGGAACAGTGTCACTGCTGGGTCATTTTGAAGATGAGGCTTAGGTAATGGATTAAAGACTTAAATGTTAGACCTAAAACCATAAAAACCCTAGAAGAAAACCTAGGCAATACCATTCAGGCCATAGGCATGGGCGAGGACTTCATGACTAAAACACCAAAAGCAATGGCAACAAAAGCCAAAATTGACAAATGGCATCTAATTAAACTAAAGAGCTTCTGCACAGCAAAAGAAACTACCATCAGAATGAACAGGCAACCTACAGAATGGGAGAAAATTTTTGCAATCTACCCATCTGACAAAGGGCTAATATCCAGAATCTGCAAAGAACTTAAACAAATTTACAAGAAAAAATCAAACAACTCCATCAATAAGTGGGCAAAGGATATGAACAGACACTTCTCGAAAGAAGACATTTATGCAACCAAAAGACACATGAAAGAATGTTCATCATCACTGGCCATCAGAGAAATGCAAATCAAAACCACCATGAGATACTATCTCACACCAGTTAGAATGGCAATCATTAAAAAGTCAGGAAACAACAGGTGCTGGAAAGGATATGGAGAAATAGGAACACTTTTACACTGTTGGTGGGACTGTAAACTAGTTCAACCATTGTGGAAGACAGTGTGGCGATTCCTCAAGGATCTAGAACTAGAAATACCATTTGATCCAGCGATCCCATTACTGGGTATATACCCAAAGGATTATAAATCATGCTGCTATAAAGACACATGCACACGTAAGTTTATTTTGGCACTACTCACAATAGCAAAGACTTGGAACCAACCCAAATGTCCGTCAATGATAGACTGGATTAAGAAAATGTGGCACATGTACACCATAGAATACTATGCAGCCATAAAAAGAATGAGTTCATGTCCTTTGTAGGGACATGGATGAAGCTGGAAACTATCATTCTGAGCAAACTATCACAAGGACAGAAAACCAAACACCACATGTTCTCACTCATAGGTGGGAATTGAACAATGGGAACACTTGGACACAGGGTGGGGAACATCACACACTGGGGCCTGTCATGGGGTGAGGGGAGGGGGGAGGGATAGCATTAGGAGATATACCTAATGTAAATGACGAGTTAATGGGTGCAGCACACCAACATGGCACATGTATACATATGTAACAAACCTGCACGTTGTGCACATGTACCCGAGAACTTAAAGTAAAATAATTAAAAAAAAAAAAAAAGATGAGGCTCAGGCAACACATGTCCCTTAAATCCAGTCTATGAGGGCACCACAAAGTCCTTATTCTTTGCAAATTCTAGCAGAGAGGTTGTACTAGTTTTGGAGAGAGGCCTCAAAAGCAAGATCCTGTTTCTTGACACAGCTTACCCTGGTGAAGCTCCCTGGCCAAGCACAAACTCCCAGGTCAAGCACAAACAGCCTTCACCAATGGCACCATCAGCCCTCAAAGAGGAGGTGGCACTAACACTGTAAGTGGGCAGCTGCTATGGTCTTCTGCTGCCTGGAGAGTTTTGCCTCCATCACTGCTGACCACCTGGGGAATTCCCAGGAACTACTCTTCAAAGGTACACTCGGATGCCCCCTCTGCAAAGACATTTTGTTCCCTTACTGTACCTCTGAAATCATTTGTTATCCAAGCATTTGCAAATCCACCTGTCTTCTGTGTGTGGCTTTCTGTGTGGCATATCTATGGACATTGAGGGTGAAAAACAAGAGGAAGACTCTGTTCCTTTTCTTAGGGAGCTCACAGTTCACTGGATAAGACAGAAGGAAGCCATTGACTCTGAAAGGGAACAGGATGTGGCAAAGATGGGGCAGAGGGGTGAGCACAGAGGGGATCAAGAGAAGGGGGAGAAAGACCATTGTCATCAGTGCAGCCTTTCTGGGGAGCAATGTGTGAGCTGAGCTTTGAAAAAGAAATGAGGTTTTAAAAGAGTGTGGGAGGAGAGCCCTCCTGAGATGTATGGAGAGACCAGTGCCCCTCGTCCCTGCCACTCCCGCTCCTGCAGCTGTTCCCTTCTTCCCTCTGTCCCAGCTCAGCACAGTCACAACTCTCCAAATCATGACACTCAAAATGCCACATCTAAAAAGAACATCATGGCTGGGTGCAGTGGCTCACACCTGTAATCCCAGTACTTTAGGAGGCCAAAGTGGGTGAATCACCTGAGGTCAGGAGTTTGAGACCAGCTTGACTAACATGGTGAAACCCTGTCTCTACTAAAAAAAAAAAAAAAAGTTAGCCGGGCATGGTGGTGCATACCTGTAATCCCAGCTACTTTGGAGGCTGAGGCAGGAGAATCACTTGAACCTGGTGGGAGGAGGTTGCAGTGAGCCGAGATCATACCACTGCACTCCAGCCTGGGTGACAGAGCAAGGCTCCGTCAAAAAAAAAAAAAAAATCCGAGTTCTGGGTGGGTGCCTCTGCTTCTTCTGACTTGACCGCCCCCTTCCCTGCTCTCTTTGTGTCTCATGTAGTTGTTTCCACTCACTCAACCTCCATACTCCCTGGACAGCACATGAAAAAAATTGCAACTCTGAATCCCCATCTGCTTGTGTGTGATTCGTATCCTCTGTGAGTCAACAAGGTGAATATATTCCTCATTTGGTTGCGGGATTTTTTAAAACGTCTCAAACAGTCTCTGCCCCCTGAGAAAGTAAATTCATTCACCTACAAAGAGAAAGGAAAGGGACAGCCATCCACCAATTGACTCCTGAGATTCCCTCTGCATCCTTCAACACTTATTGGGACTTACATGAAACAATATGACAACTTTTTATTTCTATCAAACTACAGCTTTCTTCCTTGTATCTGAAGAAGTTGGCACCCTCTACACAGAATAGGAGAGCACAATTTCAACAGTTATTGCATACATCACTGACCATTCTTACTACTCCTCAAAATTCATTGCAGGTCCACCAAATGTTCTGTTTGTTGAAGATTAAATTATAAAATTAAATTTCAGCAATATGCATATATAATTAATGAACCCAGAGAAAAGATCAAAATGGTGAGCATATAATATAAATGTGTACATATTACAAAGAAAAAATATGGAAAGCTACTATCATACTTACTTGTTTTTCTAATCTGTCATGAGGCCATTTTTTTTTTTTAAGACAAGGTTTCACTCTATCATCCAGGCTAGAGTGGAGTGGCCCCATCATGGCTCACTCCAGCCTGGGTTTCCTGGGCTCAACTGATCCTCCCACCTTAGTATCCAGAGAAGCTGGGACTCACAGCATACATAAAAATTAATTTCAAAATGGATCAAAGACCTAAATATAAGAACTAAACTATAAAACTTTTTGAAAAAAACATAGGGGTAAATGTTTGTAACTTTGGATCAGAAAAATAATTTTTTAAATATGACACCAAAAGTAAAAGTGGCCGAGCATGGTGGCTCATACCTGTAATCCCAGCACTTTGGGAGGCCAAAGCGGGAGGATCTCTTGATCCCAGGAATTTGAAACGAGTCTAGGCAACATAAAGAGACCCCATCTGTACAAAACAAAATTTAAAAATTACCTGGGTATGGTGGCATGTGCTTGTAGGTCTACTCTAGCTACTCAGGAGGCTGAGGCAGGAGGATCACTTAAGCCAAGGAGTTTGAGGCCTAATTTGAGGCCGAAGTAAGCCATGATTGTACCATCATGCTCCAGCCTGGGTGGCAGAGTGAGACCCCTGTCTCAAAAAAAAAAGTACAAGTGACAAAAACAGAATTGGAGTTCATCAAATTAAAAACTTATGACTTCTAAGACCACCACCAAGAAACTAAAAAGACAACCCATAAGATGGGAGAAAAACTTGGCAACTTGTCTATCTGTTAAGGGACTTGTATCAGAATACATAGGGAACCCTTAACAACTCAACAAAAGGCAAGTAACCCAAGTGAAAAAATGAGTAAAGGATTTGCACAGACATTTCTCCAAGATGATACACAAATTGCCAATAATCACATAATTAGATGCTCAACACCATTAGTCACTAGGGAAAGGCAATCAAAAGCAGAATGAGATGCCACTTTATACCCCCTAGAATGGTTATGATAAAATCTACAGACGAGAAGAACGAGTGTTGGTGAGGAAGGAGAAATGAAACCCTCATACACTGCTAGTGGGAGTGTGAAATGGTACAGTCATTTTAGAAAACAGGTTGGTGACCAGGTGTGGTGGCTCACATCTGTAATCCCAGCACTTTGGAAGGCCAAGGTGGACAGATTGCCTGAGCTCAGGAGTTTGAGACCAGCCTGGGCAATATGGTGACACCCCCATCTCTACAAAAAAATAATAAAAAATTACCTGGGTGTGGTGGCTTGCGCCTGTAGTCCTAGCAACCTGAGGGGCTGAGACTGGAGGATTGCTTGAGCCCAGGAGGTCAAGGCTGCAGTGAGTCATGTTCGTGCCACTGCACTCCAGCCTGGGTGACAGAGTGAGACCTTGTCTCAAAACAACAACAATAAAACCATAAAATAGGTTGGAAATTCCCCTAAACAATTAAACAGAGTTACACTTTGACCCAAAAATTATAGGCCAGGTGTGGTGGCTCATGCCTGTAATCCCAGCACTTTGGGAGGCCGAGGCAGGTAGATCACCTGAGGTCAGGAGTTCGAAACCAGCCTGGCCAACATGGTGAAACCCCGTCTCTACCAAAAATATAAAAAATTAGCCAGGTGTGGTGGCTTGTGCCTGTAATCCCAGCTACTCGGGAGGCTGAGCAGGAGAATCGCTTGAACCCAGGAGGAAAATGTTGCAGTGAGCTGAGATCACGCCATTGCACTCCAGCCTGGGCAACAAGAGTGAAACTCTGTCTCAAAAATAAATAAATAAATAAATAAATGAAATTATACTCTTAGATATATATACAGAAATGAAAACATGTCTATGCAAAACTTTACACAGGTGTTCATAGCAGCTTTATTCATAGTAAACAAAAGTGGAAACAGTTCAAATGTCCACCAGCTGATGAATGGCTAAATGTAATACCTGCATACAAGGGAATATTTTTCAGCAAAAAAAGTTATAGGCCAGGCAGGGCAGCTCATGCCTGTAATACCAACATTTTGACAGGCTAAGAGGATGATGTCACCTGTTGCCGGAGAGAGTGTCCTAAATGTGAGTTGTCCAGCCAGGATGTGGCCTGTATGCTGCACCTGCTGTTCTTGGTGTATTGGGCAAGGAACTGAACAAAATGCCAGTGTGGGCACAGATTTATTGAAGAAAATTCAGAGTGGGATTGGGCTTGAGCAAGCGGCTGCTCAAGAGCCCCCTCAATTACGGTTTTTATTAAAGAAAAAACCCGGCAACACCTCTCAGTGCCCTTCAGAGGCCTCCAATTGACCACACCTCATAAAGGATTGGCCTGAGACCAATCGGAGGCTGAAGTGGCTTGTTATCATGGGAGCAAGGATGTGGCCTATATGCTGCACCTGCTGTTCTTCTGCTCATTTGAACTGGCTGCACCTGCTGTTCTTCCACCCCTGCGGCACTGGCTGCACCAGCTGAAACCCTGGTTACCCTAATTCCCTATTCTCCTGCCTCATTTCCCTCTGAGAGATATGATCCCCATAAATCTTTATGGGAGGCAAAAGGGCTGAAGATCAGTTTTCTGTAGCTACTTTCTACTGGTCATGGGCATTGTCCCTGCCTACTGAGGATCATGGCTCTCTATTCCTAAGTATTTAGGTGGGTATCCATGGGTTGCGGCAAGCCTTGTACGTGGTTATAAAAGGTACAGCTGGCTTGATCTAGTCACAACAGGTAAGTATTTTGGCCTGATTTTGAATTTTGTTCCAAAATTGGCTGAAACCCTTATACAAACATCTGTAAGTGAGAGAGCAAAAATCAGTTAACATTTTACACCAGGGAAAATTGGTAGGCATTTACTTATCTTTTGACTGTCTTTTAAATAGGTAGTTCAGGTCTTCTACGGGTTCACAGGTATAGTGGCTGGTGGGAGTCTCCGGTTCCAGGTCCAGGGCTTCAGATGTTGCAGGCTTAAACCTGGAAAGAGGTATCCAACTATCTAATCCTAGTACTTTGGCCATGGAAGGCATGGCCAACACCAGTGAAAATAGTCCCTTCCATTAGGGTTGTAGTTGTTGAGCAGGTGACTCCTCATTCCATGTTTTAACAAGTACCTTATCTCCTGGCCTGACCTTGGTTTGCTGGTTAGTTCCTGGTGCGGGGAGCCTTTGAGTTCCAAACTCTTGCGAGACCTGCTGAAACTGTCCTAGGTTAACTAGGTATTTTATTAACTCAGCCGTTTCTGGATCAGTAATTAGATCATTAGTTAAAATGGCCTCCCATATAACATTTTATATGGGCTTATATTAATTTTTGCTCTTGGAGAATAATGGTTTCTTAAGAGGGCTATGGGCAGTAAGTTGATCCAAGTTTCTGATGTTTCCTGACATAGCTTAGCTAATGCCAGTTTTAGAGTTTGATTAGCCCTTTCTACTTTCCCTGAGGATTGAGGCCTCCATGCTGAGTGTAAATAGTATTTAATTCTGAGAGCCTTAGCAACCCTTTGAGTTATTTGGGAGGCAGAAGACAAGCGATTATCACTTTGGAGGCTTTGGGGCAACCCAAACCAGGGGATTATTTCCTTCAAGAGAACCTTGATAACCGCATTAGCCTTATTCCGTTCTGATAGGGTAGGCTTCAACCCAGCCAGTAAAGTTGCTTCATTCTCTCCTCGACTCCAACTGTCTTTCTGGAATCAGGTGCAGTTTGCTCACAGGGTCTTAGAGTAACTGTCTTCCCAAATCTCACCCTCCTTTGTGATGTACTCCTCCCAGTCTTTTTTTTTTTTTTAATTGGATTCTACTTCTTTGGATGATGCATGCTGGTGTTTTCAAAAGGTTCCTGACTAGTTGTGTCCTTTATAAAATAATCTGATAATATTTTAGCTTCTTCCTGAATTTTGTAGCATATTTTTGAGCTTCTGCTGAACCCATTTTTGAGTCTCATGACATTTTCCATGTATGGAATTGTGCCAATAGAAACAAAATGTGGTCATATAGCCTCCCCCAACACTTCAACCAAACTGGTTTACGTCAGATCCTGGCAGCTTCTGCTGTCATTGGATCTCAGTGAGGCCTTTGCACCCATTCCCTCCCTTTGTGATTCATCCACGGACATCTCTCTCCATTGATTTGAGAACCATCTCAGCAATATTCCTTGCCTTATTCCAGTTCTCACTCCATCTCACTGCCTGCTGTTTCCTGTGAAATAAAGAAATGTCCCACACTTTAGAGAGTAAAACAAAAATTGGGGCTTAGAGAGGGTGGACTTGTCAAGAAGACACAGAGCTGTGAGTGTGGTAAGCCCTTAAAATGGGCTCAATGACATCGCTGCCTCCCAGGGATCCCTAATGTCTAAGAGTCCCAGTGAGCTGGGATGAACCCAGGGCCCAAGACGTGCTGTCTGACCCTCCCACCTCCAAAAGCACACCCAGTGCACATGGCATGAGGCTTCCATGGTGATGGTAAAGAAACGTCATCTGCCATCTCTCCCATTACTGCCGTGTCCCGTTACTGCTGAGTTGCCTGTCATCCCATTCTGTGCTGAGTGTCCAGATGTGATCAATAGAATCAAGGGGAAATGTTCTGAGAGGAAAGGGCCTGGAGTCAGACCAGGGGCTTTGAGCGCTGAGCTCAGAGCCTTCAAACCCGGGGAGCTCAACAGCAGTGCCAAGAAGAATGGGGGACATTGGGGTTTGAGTTTATGTTTGGAAGAATATAAGCATGACTTGGAGACTCCTATGTTCTTGTGTCCCCAGAAAGCAGAGCTAGGAGCCGCTGGAGGGAAGATTGGTGCTAGAAGTTCATGTGAGAACAGGGCAGACCCCTGCATAAATGCGGGGCGGGCGGGGCGGGGGAGGTCTCCCAGGCACTGCGGGTGTTTGAATCAAGGCCCAAACCCTGTGGCAGGAGTACTCTCAGGGAACTCAAACATTTATTTTACTAGGGCTTTAACATGAAGTATCAGTTCTTAAGAAAATCCACAACATGTGAGTGAAAATCTCATTTAATCGGCTATGAGATGTTATACAGGTGGAAAACTGGGTTAAGTGTTAAATTGTTATCACCAAATTGTTGCAACAAATTACCAATGCAGCAATCATGCATAGCTGTAAGGGCTCAAGTAATGGAGGGGGTGGCCAGCACCCTGGCAGAGGGAGACAGCACAGAAGGTCTTTGTGACTCAGGTCATAGAATGGAAAATGGTTTTGTGGGCAGACAATGAGAAAAGGGGGACAGAGTAGCTGTGTCCTGAAATAAAGCCTCTTAGGTGTTATTTGACCATTTGTTTCTCCATGTGAATGTGTAACTTTGATTTTAAAAATAAATAGAAAAGAGCCTCTTTCCTGACAACACCCGATCCCTGAGCCCCACAGATGGTGTTCTGGTTTCTTGCAGGAGTTTCTCTTCCCGCCTGCCTGCTCCCTTTTAGGACAAACCCACCAGCAAGGAGGTCTTCTAGCTCTTATTGTGTGTGTTCTCCTGCTGGTCCTGGCTTTGGCCCCAGGGACCTCTGGGTTCCCTCAGCTGCACTTCCATCCAGCCTCAGTGCATAGGACTCTGTGCCTGACCTCCTCCAGGCGGGGCTGCTGCCCCCAGGTGTCCAGCTGGTACGGAGCTCCCGTGGCAGCTCTCCTCTGATGACCGAGTGTGCTGGGGATGCTAAGGCTGACTTGTTGCTGGCACAGCCAAACCTTCTTTGCTGACTGTTTCAAAGACTCCCTAAAGGCTCCACGTATTTTCCTTAGAACACAGTCCTGAGCAGTCCCACCCATCCTCTTCCCCTCTCTCCCCCACACTGGGGGTCACACTTGCTTCATGGTCTAGTGGCTTACCCAGTTTTTTCTCATTCTTTTCATTATGTCTGTTCCCTCCTAAAACCCCTGCAATTTAGTTTTGGCGTCTGTTTCTCAGAGGAGCTCGGTAACAGACTCCACACTCTCTTCTCCCAGTCCCTGCTGCCCCTGTGGCAAGGTGGGCAGTTGGGGACAACAGAGCCGGCTTCCCTTGTCCAAAGCATAAGCTATTCCTTAGCAAAATGGAGCGCCGCCCCCGCAGCTAAGGGCTGCATTTCTCCTTGTTCCTGCTAGTCACATCCAGCACATCTGGGCTATCACTCTTGATGGCAACATTAGATTGGGGCCCACTGTGGTCATAACAGGGGTGGACCAGGTGGCAGAGTCTTCAGTCACCATGGAAACCCCGGCATCCAGTGCTAACAGGTATTTTAGAATAGAGGCTCAGATGCTCGCAGATGCGGCCCCAATCCTCCGCCCCCTCCCTGCAGCTGCTGGGCAGGCCTCCTGGGCTCATCACTGCCTTCTGGCAGGGCCTCAGTGGCAGCTTGCTCTGGAAGGCATCCTGACTCTGGGTTCAGGAGCTTGCTGGGCTTCTGCTTGAAAGTTTGAGGTTAGAATGTCACCTTTTCTGAGTTACATTTTTCTGCTGCAGATTTTGGACATTTCCTGAGGGACACTGAATACATGGGAGTTGATGGAGGGGAGGAAGGAGGGGCTAGAAGGAAGGAAAGGGCTATCACTGGGTGGGCCCTCTGGGACAGGGCGTAGCGCAGGGACAGTGCTAGGGGGACTTCACACGGAGGAATGAGGGGTGGGATGCAGTGACATCACAAGGGTCCCATTATGACCCCTCCTCCATCAGCTAAGGGGGGATGGGCTGAGCCTGAACAGAGGGAGAGGGGAGTAAATAAGGGGCTGTTGCCAGAGCCTGAGCCCACCAGAGAAAGTCTGTGTGCAGAGGGAGGGCCTCAGGTCCTGCTGCTCCTTCATCTTGACCCCTTCACACCCTCCTCTAACAGGGACCTCGACCTCCCTTCTCCACTCTCCTGGATCCTGCTCAGTGTGGTGCAGGCCTTCTCTGGGGCCCTGGAGTTCCCACTGACCTTCAGCCCCGCCAGTTGCATCTGCTGTTCCCACTGAAGGTTAGTGGACAGGGTGGAGGTGGCTAAAGGTGGAAAAGATACTTTGTGAGAGGGGGACCCCAACACGAGGACAGGGCACTGACGGAGCCTTTACCAAAATGCTGGGAAAGGTCTCCCCACCATCCACATATTCTCTCCCAGGCCTCAAAGGGCCCTCCCCAGTCTCCAGCTGTCAGCTTTCCCACCTCCACCTTCTCTCCTCCTTTCGGTTCTGCTTCTGAATTTCTTCAAAAATTCTCCTGCATCAAGACTCTCATGCTAGTCAGTTCCTGCCTGGGGTCACCAGACTGCTTCGAAGTCAGGAAGAACATGGTGGGGACGGTGACTTGAGTTTCCTGGACCACAGTGCAGGTGAGAAATGCACCCTACAGAGTGAAAAGGCACAGTGTCATCGTAAGGTCATTTTAAAGATGGAACTTAGACAACAGATGTCCCATAAATCCAGTCTATGAGGACACCACAAAGACTGTATCTTTTGCAAATTCTAGAAGAGAGGTTGTACTAGATTGGGAGAAAGCCCTAAAGAACAAGATCCTGTTTCTTGACACAGTTTACCCTGAAGATGCTCACTGGCCGAGCACGAACTCCCAGGTCGAGCACAAACAGCCCTCAGAGAGGAGGTGGCACTAACACTCTAGGCGGGTGGCTGCTCTTTGGTCTTCTTCTGCCTGGAGAGCTTTGCCTCCATCACTGGTGACCACCTGGGGAATTCCTTAGTGTACTCAGGGGAATTCCTGAGTGTACCCTTCAAAGGTACACTCGGATGCCCCCTCTGCAAAGACATTTTGTTCCCTTACTGTACCTCTGAAATCATTTGTATCCAAGCATTTGCAAATCCACCTGTCTTCTGTGTGTGGCTTTCTATATGGCATATCTATAGACATTGAGGGTGAAAAGCAAGGGTAAGACTCTGTTCCTTTTCTTAGGGAGCTCACAGTTCACTAGATGAGACAGAAGGAAGCCACTGACTCTGAAAGGGAACAGGATGTGGCAAAGATGGGGCAGAGGGGTGAGCACAGAGGGGATCAAGAGAAGGGGGAGAAAGACCACTGTCATCAGTGCAGCCTTTCTGGGGAGCAATGTGTGAGCTGAGCTTTGGAGAAGAAATGAGGTTTTAAAGAGTGTGGGAGAAGAGTCTTCCAAGGACTCTTCTTGGAAGACCAATGTCCCCTCCTCCCTGCCATTCCCCCTCCTGCAGCTGTTCCCTTCTTCCCTCTGTCCTTGCTCAGCACGGTCACAACGACTCTCCAAATCATGATGCTCAAAACGCCACATCTAAAAAGAACATCCGGGTAGGTGCCTCTGCTTCTTCTGACTTGGCCTCCCTTCCCTGCCCTCTTTGTGTCTCATGTAGTTCTTTCCCCTCACCCAACCTCCAAACTCCCTCTACAGCAGATGAAAAAATTTACATTTCCGAATCCCCATCTGCTTTTGTATGATTTGTATCCTCTGTGAGTCCACAAGGTGAACATATTCCTCAATTGGTTGTGATTTTTTTTTTTTTTTTGAGATGGAGTCTTGCTCTGTCACCCAGGCTGGAGTGCAATGGCACAGTCTAGGCTCACTGTAACCTCCACCTCCCCAGTTCAAGCTATTCTCCTGCCTCAGCCTCCCGAGTAGCTGGGACTACTGGTGCGTGTCACTACACCCAGCTAATTTTTGTATTTTTAGTTAGATACAGGCTTTCACCGTGTTGGCCAGGCTGGTCTCAAACTCTTGACCGCGTGATCCACCCGCCTCGGCCTCCCAAAATGCTGGGATTACAGGCATGAGCCACCGTGCCTACCCAGTTGTGGAATTTTTTAAAACATCTGCAACAGACTCTGCCCCTAAGAAAGTAAATTCAGTCACCTACAAAGAGAAAGGAAAGGGACAGCCATCTACCATTTGACTACTGAATTTCCATCTGCACCTTTCAATGTTTACTAGGACTTACATGAAACTATGTTTCAAAATACACCTTTCTTTTTATTTCTGTCAAACAAAATACACCTTTCTTCCTTGTATCTGAAAAAGTTGGCACCCTCTCTACAGAACAGGAGACGCACAGTTCCAACAGTTATTGTATACATCACTGACCATATTAATGACTCCACAAAATCAATCCTGGGTCCACCAAACATTCTGTTACCTGAAGCCTAACTTATAAAATTAAACTTCAACAACATGAATATACAACAAATGAACAGAGAGAAAAGATCAAATTGGTGAGCATATAATATAAATGTGTACGTATTACAAAGAAAAAATACAGAAAGCTACTACATATCTGTTTCTGTAATTTGTCATGAGGCTGTAATACCATTAAAATTTTTTAATTAATTAATTTATTTTTCACCACACTTCTTTTGCTTTGTGGATTCAGGCCATGATGGATACAATGACTTCTTCCTTTCATTATCCCCTCCATATTTCTCCTGCCCTCATCAAGAACCTCAATTCATCTCAGGTCTTTGTATTTTACAGTGCCCTAAACCTCCATTCCCAAAGGACTAAGTCCTCAATCATCCTGCCGTCTTTTAGTTTAGTACCTTTCCCTTAAACTTTACAACTGAATGTGGAAGTACAAAGAACCACCCTAAGAATCCCCTGGGTTGCTAACATAGCCATCCTTTGACCCACGGGGTAGCAGCAACCCAATTTTTTCTTGGAAATCAGAATCATTAACACCAACCAGACAGTCAAGTAATCCCTTGTGTCTGTTGGTTCAATAAAATAAAGAACCTAAGTATTCAGGTAGAAGTCTCATCTTCCAGTTTAATGAAGCAATTGCTGTCCTCTGATATTAACCCCCTAGGGACAAATTCCTCTAAATCATCAGAACTAAAAATTGCTGAGACAAAATGCAAAAATTCTTTAAGTGGGTTACTAGATGTGATTGTCAAAGGAGCCACACTTAATTCTATTCTTTTTTATAAACCAACATATTCTGACTATGGGGGAGACAGCACCATATATCTTCTAATTCAAAGCAGATTCTGCATCAGGTAAAACAGAACTCCATCCTTATAGGGTGTCATAACCAAATCTAAGCCATTCCACCTTTCAATTACGACAGCTGCTTCCAGAAGATAGGGGCTGTGGTGAGAACAGAACTTCCTTTGCTGCGACATGAACTGCTTCCTCAGATGATGGCTGGATTCCTGTGAATGTGGATAAAGCATTCTGTCAGTCCACAGATGGTGTTGCTGGCAGAAGCATTACAGGCAAGGCAGGCAGCTCCATCATACTCCAGGGTCACCCCTGTAATGCTGAGGCTGTCCACTTTTGTGTATTGCCAGCTTACTGCATAGGTTCAGCTGTAACCAGGTCTAAGTGTTTTCCTCAGTAAACTGGTCATAAGGAGCAGTTCATGAGGTCACAGGCATGGGGTGAAGGACAGGACACAATGCAACAGGAGTTTGTGTCAAAGGAATCTGAAGTGCCTGTTATGAAATCTACTCATATATTCCAGACCTACTCAAACTTGATCTCTTATATACCATGTCCATTTGATGATAGACTGTGCACATGCCTGATCTCTTGGCAAGGTGAGTTTGTGACGGGAAGCATTAGGCATTCAGTATCTACCAAGGCCTGGTAGCAAGACAGAAGCTGTTCTCAAAAAGAGAATAGTTATCTGTAGAAGACATGGATTTTATTCAAAAATTCTAGAGGTCAAGGTGGTCATTTTCCTATTCATCCTTTTGAGAAGCTACATACATCAACTGTTTGCCACACTTAAAGTATCATTGGGTCTGTTGAGTCAGAAGGACAAGTGATAGAGCAGCTTATACTATAGCCTGAATTTAGAGCAGAGCCTTCTTTGTCCCAGGTCCCATGTGAAACAGGAAGCCTTACAAGTATCTCTGTAGATTCACAAATGTGATACATGTTGCCTCCAAAACCCAAAAAGGCTTATCAAGAGTTGTGCCTCTTTGTGGTAGGTAGTACAAAATGCAGAAGTTGGTCTTTTGCCTTGGAGGAGATATTTCGGTGTTCTCCAGACTACTGAATCCCCAAACCTTCACTCAGGTGACCAGCCCCTGGCTTTTTGTGGGTATTATCTCCTTCAATATGGTTCACATATGTCTTATTAAGACATCTAAAGTACTTGTAACTTCCTGCTCATCAAATCCAATCAGCATAATATCATCAATATGGACCAGTATTATGTTTTGTGGAGTGTCAAGACACTCAGTATTTCTTTTCTTTCTTTCTTTTTTTTTCTTTTTTGAGATGGAGTTTCGCTCTTGCTGCCCAGGCTGGAGTGCAATGGCGCGATCTCAGCTCACCGCAACCTCTGCCTTCTGGGTTCAAGCAATTTTCCTGCCTCAGCCTCCTGAGTAGCTGGGATTACAGACATGTGCCACCATGCCCAGCTAATTTTGTATTTTTAGTAGAGACAGGGTTTCTCCATGTTAGTCAGGCTGGTCTTGAACTCCTGACCTCAGGTAATCTGCCCGCCTCAGCCTCCCAAAGTGCTGGGATTACAGGCATGAGCCACCATGTCTGGCTTAACGCTCAGTATTTCTATAGACCATGTCATGGTGGAGAACAGAATAGAGCTACCCTGTGGCAATGCTGTGAAGGTATACTGTTAGCACTACCAGGTCACAGCAAACTCTTTCTGGTGGTCCTTGAAAATTGGTATGATGAAAAACAGCTTTAGCTGAGTCAGTAGCTGCATACCAAGTTTCAAGGGTGATGATGATTTGCTCCAGTAAAGTTGTTATATCTGAGCCTGCAATTGCAATGAGAGTCTCTACCTGATTTACTTAATGATAACCCACAGCCTCTCTCCAAAACTCATCTAACTCCTGAACAGGCCAAACTGGTAAGTTACATGGGGATGTGACAGGTATCACCACTTCTTTTGAGTCTTTGATTGTGGCATTCATTGATACAATTTCTCGAGTGATGCTTTGCTTCTGGTTTATTCTTGGTAGGGAGGGGAAGTTGCAAGAACTTTCACTTGTCAAATGTACAAAAAAAGGGCAAAGCATGACTGATTTGACCAGTAAAGATACAAAAGCCATTTTTTGATTTAGATTGTTTATTATGTACGTAGACGTAGACACTGAAAGGAAGAATAGTCAAAGGTGACAGCTCCCTGTGGTTCTTGTCCCCCAACCACATCCCTACACACACACACACACACACACACACACACACACACACACATACACACACACGAAACTGAAATGAAAGGAGCCAGATGACTGCAAGACAAGTTGGAGGGTACCCACTGCTGAGGATCCAATTCTGCAACTCTGTTATGCAACTCTATTCTGAAGAGGGTGGGGTAGAAAGCCTCATACCTCATCAGAACCCAAGAGGCAATATCAGCCTCTTAGCATATATACAGGAGTGGGAAATGGCCTTACAGCAGCTCCTTATAGGCCTCTCACCCTGTGTTCCAGGAGGATAACAGGGTGTTCTGCCAAGAGTCAGATTACCTGTGATCCGTGCCTTTACCCAGAAGGCCTGTGTGGATATGTGCAAGGTTGTCAGGGTGCAAGGTGGGGGCATTCCCCTACAACTTCATGCGCCACCTCCTGCTTGTTCACATATGCAGTGAAGAATTCTTGGTAGCATAGGCCACCATTATTACATTCTTTAAGTAACTGTAAACGTATCAGACCAAGTCTGTTCTGTTTGTCTTGGGCAAAATTAGATGAGAGTGATCATGCTATTACATTAGTGCAATCAGACCATAGCCAGATGCCACATCTGGAGTTAAGCCAGTGAAATATGTTACTAACCCAGGTGCAGCATGAGGTGTTATCAACCACACACCTCCCACACTCACTGGCCAGCAGGAAGTCCAGGGCAATATGATTGTCCATTATCACTCATGCTACAGAGTTTAGAATAGTCGGTGAAAAGCATATTAAAAATTCTAACAACATGAGTGTCTGCAAAGTTAACCTTGTTCTTCCACGTCACTGGAAGCTATTTCCTGGTGCCAAGGGCTATTGGGAGGGTTCTGATTAAGATTCTATGCTGGCCAGCAGTGGAGGGTGGTGGTGGCACTCTGGGTTAAATTGGCCAGATGCCCTGCAGACAACTCCCACCACCCCTGACACTCCAGGGCCCAAGATGTTCTCTCCTCACATCAACCAGGGTTGCTCTTCTCCTTGCACAGCTGGGTGGTCAGTATGACCAGTCCTTGCAGCATTCACTTCACTGTGTTTGCAGCTCTTCCCACATCTAGCCAACACCACACATTCAGACTCATCCTTAAGTGGCTCAGGAGTTTCTTCCTTATATACTTTGTACCACCCTAAAAACTCTCTCTTCCCCACTGATGCACTGAGGTCCACCAGAACTACCTTAGGAATTGCCACCTCATATTCATGATCATTATCATCAATGTCCATAACTGCCTAAATTCAGTAAGCATAGCCAGACAGCAAAAGATGTACCATATTAGAGTCACCTATTCTCTGGCTCATTTTTGCTACTCCGAAATTCCAGTAGCTCAGAAGTAGACACAGAAGATAGTGCAAGAAGTGTTAATTATGTGGTTTGGGAATTTTATAGGCTGCCTGGGCCTCCTCTGTTCCAATCTGTCACAAATTCTATTTAAATATAATAGAAGGTACCATTTCAGGGAACTGCCACATTTTTTGCCCAAAGTGCCTTCATGATGATTATGCTCCACTTGGTGCATAGGCTTCACTGTTAGTTACCTTTATCCGTTTCTCTTTAAGGGCAGCACATTCCATCTTTTAATGGCTCCTGGCACCAGGGCAGTACAGGTCTCCTGATCAGCTTGTGGATTTCAGTGATGTCCATTATTGAAGGGTCTTTTTTCTTGGCATCCACAAGTGTCACAAACCGGGGGTTGAAATCTTGTGCAATCTGCACCATAATATTTGTCCTCATGGAAGCTACAACTTGATCGTCCAGTCATCTCATCACCAGCACCACACTGCCAATTCCACTGTTGACTGCCCACAAGTCAGTGAATTGTAACAAGGTGCATTTTGGGGGCAGGGGGGTGTTTCTAGGGCAAGTGTTGGCCGGCAACTCCACCAACTGAGCAGAGTTCCTTTTTCCATGCAGTTTTGGGCAATTTCCTTTGGGGCTCCACAGCAGCAGCAGCCCAATATCCCCCACTGGTCTTGAACTTAGCTGACCCATCTGTGAACCAAGCCCAGGTATCCTCAAGGACTTCAGTGCACTAAAGTCCCCAAGAAGCCCACGGTGCTGGCACAGATCCTGTGTCTGAGACAGCCACATCTAGAGGGTGACTAGGCACTTTTTCATGTAGCTGTGAGATGCCATTAATGTCTAGTTTACTTCTTTCCTGGATGTAACACCTCCATTAGTAATGGATGCTTGTCGGGCAATATCCACTTTGTTAGACTTCTCATTTCTGCCCCACCCCAGGATAGGGATGTTGGCGTGTAACAACACGTACTGTTACTCCCGCTTATGTACTTGTGCCTCTCCATTGTTCTACTTTGTATTTTCTTACAGGGAATGTCCTTTACAGTTAAACATAGTATTACATACACACTCTACATGTATTCCCACAATACATTCAGCATTATTAATTACAGCCACTCCAGTGTATATTGGCACAAAAGGGCCCACCCACAAAGATATATCAGCCCATTGTTCAGAGTTACTTCCAAATCCAGTTAATTTTTCAAAATGGGCATAGACATTTCTTGGCATGTCCATGACTTGTGACCCTGTGTCCAGAAGAATTGACATGTTTGGCAACCTTGGTTGCCATCAAGTCTCTGACACACCTTGCCGGGCATAAGGCCTCACGTTTTATTATGGACTGAAGTTCCTCAGCCTCTGCCCTGATGCAGTTTATTCTTGAAGAGTTTGAAGTCAGGGTAGAAGGTGGAGTTAGATGCATTAGATACATCCCTGTCCTCACAGCACAGACCTCAGCATGGAGATTCAGGTCTTTCTGGTCATCCTGCAGTTTCTTCACAGTCAGCACCAAAGCTGCTCAGGCATCTTCTCCTGATAACTGCTCAGAGCTTTAAGTGTGTTTGCCCTCTCATGGACTGATAAGAGAGAATTTCCCTCATGGGAAGTTCATCAGTATCTGCTCTTTGGGAATCACCTGGCATTGTAGCCATGTCCACATGGTCCTATGGTTTGGATCTTTGGTTAGATTTTTCTTCCTCCTTATCCTGAAGGCATTTCCCTTGGTGCCTGGAAAGGGCTCACTCAGTGGGCCTCGGCTGCTCAAACCCTGCATATTCCCCAGAAAAGCCTGTCTTCAGGACTGGACTTTGGTGATTTAGGTCACTCATATTAGACAAAGACCTGAGACAAATTGAGGTTCTCAGTGAGGACCGGGAAAATATGGAATGGGTAGTGAAACAAGAAAACAAACGTACCATCATGGCCTGATTCCACAAAATAAAAGAAGCGTAGTGAAAAGAATAAATATTTTTAAAATAAATTTTTATATTTTTTAAATATATTTTTTAAAAGGTGTCGTGGCCTCATGATAAATTACAAAATCAAGTGTGGTAGTAGCTTTGCATATTTGTAATATGTACACATTAATATTATACGCTCACCACTTTTATTTTTCTCTCCATTCATTTGTTGTATATACATGTTGTTGGAGTTTAATCTTACAATGTAGTCTTAAGGTAACAGAATATTTGGTGGACCTATGATGGATTTTGAGGAGTGACTAATATGGTCAGTGATGTATACAATAACTGTTGGAACTGTGCATCTCCTTATTCGGTGTAGAGGGTGCAAACTTCTTTACATACAAGGAAGAAAGTTCTGTTTTGTTTGATAGGAATAAGAGTTGTCACACTGTTTCATGAAAGTTCTAATAAGTGTCGAAGGGTGCAGGTGGAAACTCAGTAGTCAAATGGTGGATGGCTGTCCTTTCCTTTCTCTTTGTAGGTGCATGAATTTACTTTCTCAGTGGCAGTGTGTATTTTAGACGTTTTAAACATTCCATAACGAAATATGAGGAATATGTTCACCTTGTTGACTCAAAAAGTATTTAGATCATAGACAAGCAGATATAGGATTCAGAGATACAAATTTTTCATCTTCTGTCAAAGGAGTGTGGAGGCTGGAAAGAATTACATCCAAAAGAGAAGGGAGGACGAGTCAGAAGAGGGCAGAGAAGGGAGGTCAATTCAGAAGAAGCAGAGGCACCAACCCTGATGTTCTTTTTAGAAGTGGCATTTTGAGTGTCATGATTTGGAGAGTCGCTGTGGCTGTTCCAAGCAAGGAGAGAGGGGAGAAGGAAACAGCTACAGGAGGAGGAGCAGCAGGGAGGAGGGGCATTGGCCATTCCATACTGCTCTGGAAGGCTCTTCTTATTTATTTATTTATTTATTTATTTATTTATTTATTCATGTTTTTTTGAGACAGGGTCTCACTCCGGTTGCCCAGGCTGGAGTGTACTGGTGCGATCTCAGCTCACTGCAGCCTTGACCTTCCAGGCTCAGGTGATTCTCCCACCTCAGCCTCCCAAGTGGCTGTAACCACACATGCGTGCCACCATGCTTGGCTAATTTGTTGTATTTTCAGTAAAGATGGGGTTTCACCTTTTGCCACACTTAAAGTATCATTGGGTCTGTTGAGTCAGAAGGACAAGTCATAGAGCATCTTGAGACCACCTTGTTGCCCAGGCTGGTCTCAAGCCCCTGGATTCAAGCTGTCCACTTGCCTTGGCCTCCCAAAGTGCTGAAACTACAGGAGTGAGCCACCACATCCAGCTTCCTTATTTCTTCTCCAAAGCTCAACTCACACATTGCTCCCCAGAAAGGTTGCACTGATGACAATGGTTTGTCTCCCCTTTCTCTTGATCCTGTCTGTGCTCACTCCTCTGCCCCATCTTTGCCACACTCTGTTTCCTTTCAGAGTCGGTGGCTTCCTTCTGTCTCATCCAGTGAACTGAGAGCTCCTTAAGGAACAGAGTCTTACTCTTGTGTTTCACCTTCAATGTCTATAGTTATGCCACATAGAAAGCCACACACAGAAGACAGATAGATTTGCAAGTTCTGGGATAACAAACTGTTACGAGGTAAAAAGTCTTGACTCTGAGTTGTCCAGGCTCATGGGGCATTGAACAAAGAATGAACAAAACACTCAGCCAAAGCAACAAAAGAGCAAAGCAATGAAAGAAGCAACAAAAGCACAGATTTGTTGTGCACAAACAAAGCAAAAAAAGAATGAAGCAATGAAAGCACAGATTTATTGAAGCAAAGTACACTCCACAGAGTGGAAGCCAACTTATGTAAAGGGCTCAAGAGCGCTGATTACAATGTTCTTTAGGGTTTTAAGCTATTAATAATTTAGCAACACCCCTAGGTGCCCTTTAGAGGCCTCCAATTGGTTACACCCTATGAAGGACTTACCCAGGATGAAACAAAAGGCTGAAGTGGAAACTTCTGTTTTGTTATAACAGGAGTGAGGATGTGGCCTATATGCTGTCTAGAGCTGGCTGCACCTGCTGTTCTTTTGCTTATGCCTTAACCGTTGTTTACCCTAATTCCCTATTCTCCTCTCTCAAAATGATTTCAGAGGCACTGTAAGGGAACAAAATGGCCTTGCAGAGTGGGCGTCCGAGTGTACCTTTGAAGAGTAATTCCTGGGAATTCCCAAGGTGGGCACCAGTGATGGAGGCAAAGCTCTCCAGGCAGCAGAAGACCATAAGTCTTAGGTGTCAGTGCCACCCACTTAGGGTGTCAGTGCCACCTCCTCTCAATGCCATTGGTACCAATGATGGTGCCATTGTTGAAGGCTGTTTGTACTCCACCTGGGAGTTTATGCTCGGCCAGGAAGCTTCACCGGTGTAAACTGTGGCAGGAGACAGGGACTTAATTCTGAGGCCTCTCTCCCAACCTGGTAAAACTTCTCCACTAGAATTTGCAAACAAGAAAAAAATGTGGTATTTGCAGTGCCCTCATAAACAGGATCTCAAAGATTCTCCCCTCCTCATCCATCAGATGCCCCAGGCTGGAGGGTGGCCCCAGAAGAACACTTTCTAGCCCCTGCCTCCCTCCCCCCATCCACCCCCATCTATTCAGCATCCCTCAGAAAACATCCCAAGTTTGTAGCAGAAAACAGAAGTGTAAATCAGAAAAGGTAACATTCACACTTCACACCTTCATGTAGAAGCCCAGCAAGCTCTTGAACCCAGAGCCGGGATGCCTTCCAGAGCCGGCTGCTGCCAAGACCCTGACAGAAGGCAGTAGAGGGAGGGGGCCTGCTCAGAAGCTCAAGCATCTGATCCTCCATTACAAAACACCTGCTAGTGCTGCATAGCTGGGATTTCCATGACGACTGAAGACAAGACTGCCACCTTGTCTACTCCTGCCATGGCCACAGTGGTCTTCAATGTAATGTTGCCATCCAAGTGGTAGCCCAGATGTGCTGGATGTGACTAGCAGGAACGTGTGCAAAACATAGCCCTTAGCAGGGCCCAGCCTTACTAAGAGGTCATGTATGCTCTGGGCAAGGCCAGGCTGGCTCTATGGTCTGCAACTGTCAGCCTCACTACAGGGGCAGCAGGAACTGAGAGAAGAAGGGTTGAAGTCTCTGTTCCTCAGCTCCTCTGAGAAGCAGACGCCAAGAGCAGATTAAACTGCAAGGGTTTTAGGAAGGAACATAACATTGTGAAAATTATGAAGGACTGGGTGAGCCATCAGACCTTAAAGCAAGTATCAGCCCTAGTGGGAAACAGAGGGGAAGAGGATGGGCGGGACTGCACAGAACTGTATTCTAAGGAAAATCCATGGTGCCTTTAGGGAGTCTTTGAAACAGCCAGCAAATAAGTTCTGGGCGTGCCAGCAGCAAGTTGGCCTTAGCACCCCCACCACACTCGGTCATCAGAGGAGAGCTGCCACGGGATGCCCATACCAGGTGGACACCTGGAGGGAGCAGCCCCGCCTGGAGGAGGTCAGGCACACAGAGTCCTAGGCACTGAGGTTGGGCACCACGGATGGAAGTGCAGCTGAGAGAACCCTGAGGTTCCTGGGCTCCCTGGGGCCCAAGCCAGGACGAGCAGGTGAACACACACAGAAGGAACTAAAAGACCTCCTTGCTGGTGGGGTTGTCCTAGAAGGGGGCAGGCGGGTGGGACCCAGAACCTCCTGCAAGAAACCAGAATACCATCTGTGGGGCTCAGAGATTGGTTGGTTTTAAGAAAGAGGCTCCTTTCTACTTATTTTAAAAATCAAAATTATACATTCACAGGTAACAAATGGTCAAATAACACCTAAGAGGCTTTACTTCAGAAAACAGCAACTGTCCCCCTTCTTTGCCATTTGCTCTCTTTGATCTGAGTCACAAGGACCTTCTCCAGTGCTATCTCCCTCTCCCAGAGTGATGGCCACCCACTCTGTTACCTGAGCTTTGTATGATTGCTTCATTGGCAATTTTTTGCAACAATTTGGTAGTAATTTGACAGTTAACCTGTTCTTCCAGGTGTATGGCATCTCATAACAGAGTAAATTAGATTCTCATATGTTTCCAATTTTCTTAAGAATCAATATTCCTTATGTTAAAGCCCTGATAAAATACATGTTTGAGTTCCTTGGGAGTGTCCCTGCCACGGTGTTTGGGCCGTGATTCAAACAGAGAGATCCCACATTTATGCAGGGGTCTGCCCTGTTCTCACCTGAACTTCTAGCACCATTCTCTCCTCTGGCGACCCCTAGCTCTGCTTGATGGGGGCATATGAACATCAGGAGTCTCCAAATCATGCTTATATTCTTCGAACATAAACTTGGACCCAAATCCACCCCCATTCCCCTTGGCATTGCTGCCAAGCTCCCAACACTTGAAGGCCCTGAACTCCTTGCTGAACAGCCCTAGTCTGACTTCAATCCACTCTCCACTCCCAGAGTCTGGCCCCCTCCCCTCAGGCCTCAATTTTCTCCTGATTCTATTGATCACATCTGGACATTTGGCACAGAATAGGATGAGAGGGGACATGGCAGTAATGGGAGAGATGGCAGGTGAGGTTTCTTTACCATCACCATGGACGCCTCAGGCCATGTGCACTGGGTGGGGCTTTGGAGGTGAGGAGGTCAGAGAGTTCTTCTTAGGCCCTGGGTTCATCTCAGCTCACTGGAACCCTCAGACATTAGGAATCCCTGGGAGGTAGCGGTGTCATTGAGCCCCATTTCAAGGGCTTACCACACTCCCAGCTCTGTGTGATATTGACAAGTTCACCCTCTCTGAGCTCCAATTTTTGTTTTTACTCTTTAAAGTGTGGGACATCTCTTTATTCCCGAGTGAACAGCAGAAAATGAGATGGAGTGAGAGCCGAAAGAAGGCAAGGAATATTCCTGAGATTGTTCTCAAGGAGATGGGGATGTCCGTGGATGAATCACAAAGGGAGGAAATGGGTGCAAAGGTCTCACTGAGATCCAATGACAGCAGAAGCTGCCAGTCTAAGATCTGGACCAGATTTGAAGTTTTAGGGGAGCCTATATGACAGCATTTTGTTTCTACTGGCATAACTTCATACATGAACAATGTCATAGCACTCAAAAATGGGTTTAGGAGAGGCCTAAAAATATGCCACAAAATTCAAGAAGCTAAAATACTATCAGATTATTTTTTAAAGACACAATCAATCAGAAAACTTTAGAAAACGCCAGCATGCATCATCCAAAGTAATAGATTCCAGTTCAAAAAGAGAGAGAGAAAGACAGGAATACAGCAGAAACTCAGAGGTAAGTGAGATTTGGGAAGACAGTTACTTTGTAGGATGCTGTGAGCAACCTGCACTTCAGTCCAAAAAGACAGCTGGAGTCAAAGAGAGAATGAAGCAGAAGTTGCACCCCAGGCAAATAAATATTTGGTGAGAAAAGCTTCTAATATCATCTCCAGGAAGATCTGGTCATAAAATCCTTCCAGAGAGAGGTCCTCAAACCCAAATTCACTTCTTGGGGCCAAACACTGAAATTGGCTGAACCCCTGTCTACCCCCACCATGTTTCACCTGCAAGGCTTTTCTCTCCTTTAAATGAGATGAGCTAAGAATGGAACCCGTGTTTGAGGATGGTACTTCATCTTCACTTGACCATAACTTGCTTACACCTTTAGGGTAAATGTAATACTTTCAATACTTTTGCTCTCTATAATTAAAAACCAAAGCAAAACCCCACACCAATAACTTCATCAAGAGATTCTCACTTGGGCATTGGACCCATTGGCCACATCAAACTCTGATCTGTATACTCTGGGGGGATTAGAATATGCCCAGTTGGTAGAGCACCTGACCAGCTGGGAAAGCACTTGCCCTTCACCTCATTCCACCCTCAAAACAGAGGGTCCAGGAGGACAAGGACTGCCAAGGTGCTAAGAAGTTCTGTCACCCAATGTTGCTCCGGGCAGCAAATTGTAAGGAGGAGTAGCACTCACCAAGAGACCTAGGGCCTGCCTTGGATCCCTGCACATAGAACTTAATGGCAGCCCTCAGTGTACTAGTGAAGACATTTATCTTATTAAGGAGAGAAAAGAGGCACAAAGAAGCTGGTCGAACTTGCCCAAGATCACACAGCCAGCCCAAGGCCCAGCTTGCTTTGAGCTCAGGCACCCAACTCCACATCGTCTGATACATTCTGGTTCCTCTGACTTCTTCCCATCTGAAGCTCCCTGCTCTGCGTTCAGATGCCCCCTCTGACTCGCTGCTCAGGAACATAGGCTTCCACAGACAGAGGTAAGGATATGAACCAGCCAGGCTGGCAAGGACTGAATCCAAATCCCAGGTTTCTCTCCAAGTCCAGGCCTTTCCTGGCAGATATGAGCAGCAAGACCAGGGTAGCCACAGAGGCGAGCTCGGCTGGGTGGAAACTCCCTGAATAGCCAAGTGTGCATGGGATTCTTCCAGGGGACAGCCTGGTCCTGTCCTGTTCCGGGTAGGAGGCACTGGGCATCTGGGCACTCAAAACCTACCACTGTAAAGAAGACTGAACCAGTAAGGCCACACGCCGGGCACGGGGCCCCATTTTCAGAGGATGGAGCCAGGCCTGTCGGGGCTGCTCATGTGTCCACCTCCTTCAGGCTCCCTCATTATCCAAACGGCATTTCCACACATGGGAATTTGCAAAAGGAGAGAGTGAAAGGCCCAGGGCATTTCTGTGGTCTGTACTAACCCTCAAAGATACTCTTGGTCTGTGTGATCCTCATTTTCAAATTAGAGGCTAAAGATGGACAAGGCCGGTAGCAGAGTGTGCAGGTCGCCTGGCCAGCCCTGCATTTACTCCTCTCTCCAGGCAGAGTGGCCAGTGCCACTTGCCCACGCAGCAGTCACGTGAGGTCCATCCTCTGGGAAGGTCCTCCCTGATGGCCCCTCTGCGATTCTGACCACAGGATGCCCGCAGCACAGCAGAGTCCCAGGTGGAGCAGAATCGGCCATGAGAATAAGCTTGGTTCCGAGGACTTTCTGCTGTTATGTCTGTAATTACTAAACTTTTTTCATATAATTGCATTTTTCAAACATATAAGGATGACAAAAAAATAATATAACAGGTAAACAGAAGTGCCATTTTGCTTCCACGGCTCCGGCCTCCTAAGGGGCAGGAAAGCAGGTGACCTTATTCCTGGTATTAAAATGGCATGGCTGGAGTTCAGGTGGGCTGATGGGAAGCTGTGCATCCTATAGCACCCTGGAATGGCTGAAATTAAGTATTTTATATGGCAAAATTGACTCATGGAGCAGAAATAGCCTGCTCATATGGACATGGAAGCAAGATGTCCTTCAGGCCCCTAAACCTCTTCTGAGCCTCTTCGCCTGCAGATAGCTGGGCAGGCGTGTCTGACCATCCCATGTGGCCAGGGTCCATCTTCAGCAGTTGTGGATTGAGGCCTTTGTCCTTGTCTGTGCTGATTTGAGAGGTACTGGAGAAAGGCTGTGGTGTCTTGGTCTTCGTCTCCAGTGTTAGCCACTGCAATGGCAGGGGGAGGAGGTGGTGGGCTGAGAGCATGGACAGTGCAAAGGCAGTCATGGCTGATTGCTAGAGAGAAAGATGAAGGAGACATTAACTCTTCTCCTGAAGCACAAATCAGAACAGATATTTTTCACGTGTTGAGCATGTATGTGCCCCACCTGGGTACTGGGCAGCATTTCTGATTGAACACTGCCGCAGTGCTTGATGCAGGTTTACGTGAGCCCCAGTTTCACGAGGGGGTCCCCTCTCCTCCCTCCCTTGGATGTCTCATGTCTCCATCTGCACTCTTAGTGGCCTGGTCTTTCTCTGAGACAATTCCAGGCTGGTTCCCCTGCTTTGCTATCCCCCACAACCTCTCCCACACCATTGCCCAGCTCCCAAGAGCTCACTGTGGCTGAGGAAAGGGGGTGCCTTGACACGGAGTTCCCTTCACATGAGGGTCCCCAGACATTCCTCCTGGAAGTGCTCCACCAGGACCCCTGCCACATGTGCCTCTTGGTGCAGGGAGGAGAGGAGAGCAGGTTGTGTCTGATGTGGGTGTGTCTGTGTGCAATGGCTGCTTGTATCCTTGTGTGTTGTGTACCTGCTCAGCAAACTGAGTCCTGTGGCCAAGAATGATCCTGGGCAAAACTGAGCACATTTAACCCAAGTTTGATTTCAACTCAACACTTTCCCACTGTGCCTCCTTCTCATCCCAAATGTGCCAAATACTTCTAATCTTAGTATTCATTCTTTGCTTTGTCTGTCAGGTCCTGTTCTCTACGAGTGAATATCCTAATGACCATAATAAAGCCAGTTCCCTTTTTGGGGACTGACATTTGTTGAGAACTCCCCCTATGAATGCTGTCTTGCTGCAAAACTTCACCTCTGGATAAAGTGGCTGTGCTCCTTCTGGATGTCTGCATCAGGGCTGCTGAGGCACAGCTGAGAATGCACCACACAGCTGACTACGCTGCTGAGCAAATCTCATTACTAAATGCACATCCCTTTCAAGGATGCCAGGCGTTAGGGCTGCATTGCAACTTTGATGGACACTGGGGATTAATGCCTGTGTGTCCTTGTTCCATTAAAAAGTTTGAAGTTTGCTGGGTGCGGTGGCTCACACCTGTAATCCCAGCACTTCGGGAGGCCAAGGCGGGCAGGTTACGAGGTCAGGAGATCGAGACCATCTTGACCAACACGGTAAAACCCTGTTTCTACTAAAATACAAAGAAGTAGCCAGGCGTGGTGGTGGGTGGCTGTAGTCCCAGCTACTCGGGAGGCTGAGGCAGAAGAATGGCTTGAACCTGGGAGGAGGAGGTTGCAGTTAGCCGAGATGGAGCCACTGCACTCCAGCCTGGCAACACAGCAAGACTCTGTCTCAAAAAAAAAAAAAAAAAAAAGAAAGAAAAAGTTTGAAATTTGATTTTATGAGTTACTGGTATAATGATAAATATATTAATATCATAGGCCAGGCGTGGTGGCTCACACCTGTAATCCCAGCACTTTGGGAGGCCGAGGCGGGTGGATCACGAGGTCAGGAGATCGAGACCACGGTGAAACCTCATCTCTACTAAAAATACAGAAAAAATTAGCCGGGCGCAGTGGCGGGCTCCTGTAGTCCCAGCTACCCGGGAGGCTGAGGCAGGAGAATGGCGTGAACCCGGGAGGAGGAGCTTGCAGTGAGCCGAGATCACGCCTCTGCACTCCAGCCTGGGCGACAGAGCAAGACTGCGTCTTAAAAAAAAAAAAAATCACATAGTTCAATTTTTTTTTCTTCTGACTGAAATTGACACTCTTTGGTGGGCCTGTAAGTTTCCTGGCCCTGGTCACTGTGCCCACCCTGCCCATGGCTAAGGGGTCCTAGCAGCAAGCATGTATGTGGCTGGCCCCTACACCCTCCCACTCTGCCAGAGATTTTTTCCAAAAGGAATCTCCCTGCACGGAGGGCGGAGCTCGAGATCTCCATGTCGCGGGGTGGCTCCGAGGTCACCACTGCCCAGCATGTCTCTGGCTGCTGACAGGACTCTGTGCTTTCTTAACTCCTTGATGGAGTTCCTGGAGTTGGAGGGAAGCGCTTCCCACCAGAAACCCACTTGTGTCGGTTTTTCTTCCATTCGAAACAAATGATCAAAGTGATAGCGTTTTCTATGTTACGTGTCTGTCTCTGGTCACTTAAAAACAAAACAGAGCAGGGTGTCCCCTGACAGCCCAGGAGAAGAACAGGAAGGCAGCCCTGGGGTTACCTGTCAAGGTTCAGATCATGACCTCCGCAACGGCCACGGCTGGGTGACATCGTCACTCCCCAGGGGACAGGCGATCCCCTCCTCACCCCACAGCTCAGACCCCAGGATCGGCCCCAATCCCTGTGTCCTGAGCTCCTCCTACTTCCCCTTTCCATCCCAGCCAGCTCCGAAGGAGGCCGGCCCTGTGAGACAGGGAGGGGTCCAGCCTGGGACCCGGCCTGAGCCGGGAGGGAGGGCTTGTCTTGCTCCGGCCCCTGTGATGAGTCCCCTCTTACCCGGCAGGTGGTGACTCCCCATCCGCGGAGGCTCCCCCGCTGACCCCAAGTCCCCACCGCTCTGTCCTTCTCCAAGGCCCGGTGCAGGAGCACCCTTTGTCCCTGGGTGGCCTGACCCTGCTGACCACGGGTCACCTCCCTGACCACGAATACTCTGCCAACTGCCTCCTGAGTGACCGAGACAGCTCAGTCTAGAGTCTCGACTACCCGGGGTGACCCAATAGTCCCGACTCCCCGAGACAGGGACCCGGAGACGTGGGCTTTGTCAGTTTAACAGATTCTGCCTCCGGGAACCAACTGCCGGGAGATTCTGATTGGCTCAGCCGCGTGCCCACGTGACCGACCAAAACCGGCCACCAGGGTCTCCCAACTGCCTGTCAAACGCACAGCCCTGTTGGGCCCCCGGAGAGGAAGAGCCGAGAAGGAGGCCAGGCCGGGGGTCAGGTGGCTTCCTCTATGGGCCCTTTAATCCACCTCACTTTTTTATCTTCTTTTTTTTCCCAGCAGCTTTATTAAGTTATAATTCACACACGATGTAATTCGCCCATTTAAAATGTACAATGGGCCCGGCGCGGTGGCTCACGCCTGTAATCCCAGCACTTTGGGAGGCCGAGGGGGCAGCGGGGATGGGGGTGGCGGGTCACCTGAGGTCATGAGTTCAAGACCAGCCTTGCCAACATGGCAAAACCCTGTCTCTACTAAAGATACAAAAAATATCCAGGCATAGTTGTGTGTGCTTGTAATCCCAGGTACTCGGGAGGCTGAGGCAGGAGAATCGCTTGAACCTGGGAGATAGAAGTTGCTGTGACCTGAAATCGCACCACTTCACTCCAGCCTGGGTGACAGAGTGAGACCCTGTCTCTAAAATAAAATGAAATAAAATAGAATATACACTGGTTCTTAGTATAGTCACAGAATTGTGCAATCATCGGCACCATCTAATTTGAGAACATTTTCTATATATATGTAGAGAAAGGGGTCTTGCTATGTTGTCCAGGCTGGTCTTGAACTCTTGGGGTGAAACCATCCTCCTTCTTCAGCCTGTGCAATACCTATGCTTGCACGGGTGCAAGCATCAGCATTACAGGCATGAGATGCCTCACCTGGCCCAGAACTTAGTTTTTTACTGAAAAATATTCCCTTGTATGCATATATGATATTTATCCAGTCATCAGCTGATGGACTTTTGAACTGTTTCCACTTCTGTTTATTATGAATAAAGCTGCTATGAGCATTTGTGTAGAAGTTTGTGTAGATTTATGTTTTCATTTCTGCTTATATAAGTAGGAGTATAATTTCTGGGTCAAAGTATAACTGTGTAGTTTTTGAGAGGAATTGCCAACCTGTTTCCCCTCTTCTTTTTTTTTTTTTTTCTTTTTTTTTTTTTTCAGAGATGTGGTCTCACTCTGTCACCCAGGCTGGAGTGCAATGGCACAAACACCACTCACTGCAGCATCAACCTCCTGGGCTCAAGTGACCCTCCTGTCTCAGCTCCTTAAGTAGCTGAGACTACAGGAACATGCCACCATGCCTGCATAATGTTTTTTTGTTTGTTTCTTTGTTTGTTTGTTTGTTTGTTTGTAGAGACAGGGTTTCATCATGTTGCCCAGGCTGCTCTCGAACTCCTGACCTCAGGCAATCCACCCATCTTGGCCTCCCAATTGCTGGGATTACAGGCATGAGACACAGCACCTGGCCGCCAATCTGTTTTCTAAAGTGGCTGCACCATTTCACATTCCCACCAGCAGTGATGAGGGTTTTTTCCTCCATCCTTGCTAACACTTGTTCTTGTCTGTAGATTTTATCATAGCCATCCTAAGGGGTAGAAGGTGGCATCTCATTGTGCGTTTGATTTGCCTTTCCCTAATGACTAATGGTGTTGAGCATCATATCATGTGATTATTGGCAATTTGTGTATTATCTTTGGAGAAATGTCCATGCACATTTTTCACTCATTTTTCACTTAGGTTATTTTCCTTTTGTTGAGTTGTAAGAGTTCCCTGTGTATTCTAATACAAGTCCCTCATGAGATAAACAAGTTGCCAGGTTTTTCTCCCATCCTATGGCTTGTCTTTTTACTTTCTGGGTGGTGTTATTTGAAGTCAATTTTTTTAAATTTTGGTGAAGTCCAATTTTGTTTTTGCCACTTGTACTTTTTTCTTTTTTTTGAGACAGGGTCTCACTCTGTCACCCAGGCTGGAGTGCAGTGGTGCAATCATGGCTTACTGCAGCCTTGACCTCCTCAGCTTAAGTGATCCTCCCTCCTCAGCCTCTGGAGTAGCTGGAGTAGCTGGGACTGAAGGCACATGCCACCATACCCAGCTAATTTTTTTATTTTGTTTTGTAGACACAGGGTCCCCTTATGTTGCCCAGACTGGTCCAAACTCCTGCGATCAAGGGATCCTCCCGCTTTGGCCTCCCAAAGTGCTGGGATTACAGGCGTGACCCACCATGCTCGGCCACTTTTATTTTTGGTGTCATATTTACGAAATCGTGGCCGGGCGCAGTGGCTCACGTCTGTAATCCCAGCACTTTGGGAGGCCGAGGTGGGCACATCACCTGAGGTCGGGAATTGGAGACCAGCCTGACCAACATGGAGAAACCTCGTCTCTAATACAAAATTAGCAAGGCGTGGTGGCACACGCCTGTAATCCCAGCTACTTGGGAGGCTGAGGCAGGAGAATTGCTTGAACCCAGAAGGCGGAGCTTGTGGTGAGCCGAGATTGTGCCATTGCACTCCAGCCTGGGCAACAAGAGCAAAACTCTGTCTCAAAAAAAAAAAAAAAAAAAATCGCTTCCTAATCCAAAGTCACAAAGATTTATCTATGTTTATCTATGTTTTCTTCAAAAAGCTTTATAGTTAGTTCTCATATTTAAGTCTCTGATGCATTTCGAATTAATTTTTGTGTACAGTTTGAGTAGTACCAGCTACTCTGGAGACTAAGGTGGGAGGATCACTTGAGCCCAGGAAGTCCAATCTAGAGTGAGCCATGATTGAGCCACTGCACTCCAGCCTGGATGACACAGAGGGACCCTGTCTCAAGGAAAAAAAAAAAAAAAAGCTGGGCCGGGTGGCTCATTCCCTGTAATCCCAACACTTTGTTAGGCTGAGGCAGGTAGATCACTTGAGGCTAGGAGTCAAGACTAACCTGGCCAACACGGCAAAACCCCGTCTCTACTAAAAATACAAAAATTAACCAGGAATGGTGGCATGCACTTGTCCCAGCTACGCGGGAGGCTGAGGCAGGAGAATTGCTTGAACCCCAGAGGCGGAGATTGCAGTGAGCAGAGATCACACCACTGCACTCCAGCCTCAGCGAGCATGAGAAACAGAATAAATAAAAAGTTTAAAAAATTTTTATGTAGGTCCCATTTTGATCTTTTCCCTGAGTTTATTAACTGTGTATGCATGTTGCTGGAGTTTAATTTTATAATTTAATCTTCAACAGAATATTTGGTGGGCCCAGGATTGATTTTGTGGAGTCATTAACGTGGTCAGTGATGTATACAATAACTGCTGGAACTGTGGGCCTCCTGTTCTGTGTAGAGGGTGCCAACTTCTTCAGATACAAGGAAGAAAGCTGTATTTTGTTTAATAGAAATAAAAAGATGTCACATAGTTTCATGTAAGTCCTAATAAGTGTTGAAGGGTGCAGATGGAAACTCAGGAGTTGAAAGGTGGATGGCTGTGCCGTTCCTTCCTCTTTGTAGGTGCATGAATTCTTTCTTAGGGGCAGAGCCTGTTGGAGATGTTTTTAAAAAATCCCTCAACCAAATGAGGAATATATTCACCTTGTTGACTCACAGAGGATACGAATCATATACAAGCAGATGGGGATTCAGAGAGCAAATGTTTTCAACTGCTGTCAAGGGAGTGTGGAGGTTGGGTGAGGGGAAAGAACTGCATGAGACCCAAAGAGGGCAGGGAAGGGGGGTCAAGTCAGAAGAAGCAGAGGCACCTACCCGGATGTTCTTTTTAGATGTGGCATTTTGAGCGTCATGATTTGGAGAGTTGCTGTGACTGTGCCGAGCTGGGACAGAGGGAAGAAGGGAACTGCTTCAAGAGGGGGAGCAGCAGGGAAGAGGGGCATTGGTCTCTCCACATATCTCAGGAGGGCTCTCCTCCCACACTCATTAAAACCTCATTTCTTCCCAAAGCTCAGCTCACACATTGCTCCCCAAAAAGGCTGCACTGATGACAATGGTCTTTCACCCCCTTCTCTTGATCCCCTCTGTGCTCACCCCTCTGACCTATCTTTACCACACCCTGTTTCCTTTCAGAATCAGCTTCCTTCTGTCTCATCCAGTGAACTGTGAGCTCCCTAAGAAAAGGAATAGGGCCAGGTGCAGTGGCTCACACCTGTAATCCCAGCACTTTGGGAGGCTGAAGCGGGTGGATCACCTGAGGTCAGGAGTTCGAGACCAGCCTGACCAATATGATGAAACCCCATCTCTACTAAAAATACAAAAATTAGCCAGACATGGTGGCATGAGCCTGTAATCCCAGCTACTTGGGAGGCTGAAACAGGAGAATTGCTTGAACCCTGGAGGCGGAGGTTGCAGTGAGCCAAGATTGCACCATTGCACTCCAGCCTGGGCAACAAGAGCAAAACTGTCTCCAAAAAAAAAAAAAAGAAAAGAAAAAGAAGAAAAAAGAAAAGAAAGCAAGAAAGCAAAGAAAGCAAGAAAGCAAGCAAGCAAGCAAGAAAAGGAATCGAGTCTTGCCCTTGTTTTTCACCCGCAGTGTCTATAGATATGCCATACACAGAAGACAGACGGATTTGCAAATGCTTGGTTAACAAATGATTTCAGAGGTACAATAAGGAAACAAAATGGCTTTGCAGAGTGGGCATCCGAGTGTACTTTTGAAGAGTAGTTCCTGAGCATTCCCCAGGTGGGCACCAGTGATGGAGGCAAAGCTCTCCAGGCAGCAGAAGACCATAGAGCAGCCGCCCACCTAGAGCGTTAGTGCCACCTCCTCTCTGAGGGCTGAAGTTTCCAGGTCGAAACTTCTGTGCTCGACCTGGAAGTTTGTGCTCAGCCTGGGAGCTTCACCAGGGAAACTGTGGCAGGAGACAAGGTCTTGATTCTGAGGCCTCTCTCTCAACCCAGTACAACCTCTCTGCTAGAATTTGAAAAAAAAAACATGGTATTTGTGGTACCCTCAGAGACTGGATTTAAGGGACATGTGTTGCCTAAGTCCCATCTTCAAAATGACCCAGCAGTGACACTGTTCCTTTTTACTCTGTAGGGCACATTTCTCACCTGCATTATGGCCCAGGAATCTCAAGTCACCATCCCTACCATGGTCACCCCAATTTGAAGCAGCCTGGTGACCCCAGGCAGGAACTGATCATCAAGGGAGGCTGGAGGCAGGAGGATTTTAAAAGAAATCCAACAGCAGGACCAAAACAAGGAAAAAGGGGAGGCAGGAGGGTGGTCAACTAGAGACCCAGGAGAGGATTCCAGGATGGTGGGAAGCCCTCACCCAGCAAGACTGGTGGAGGCCCCATCTGTGCTCTGCCCCTTTCAAGAGGTTTCCTTTGCACCAACACCCACCCCCACCCTGGCCACTGACCTGCAGGAACAGCAGATATGACTGTGGGGCCCCAAGGCCTGCGGGAACCCAGGGACCGAGAGAAGGCAGGTGTTGGGTTGAGCAGGATCCAGGTTAGCCGGGGAGGGACGTGGGAGTCCTTGTCAGAGAAGGATGTGAAGGGATTGGGATGAAGGAGTCCAGGAGGAGCAGCAGGACCCGAGGCCCTCCCTCTGCACACACCCTTTTCCTGCTGGGCTCAGGCCCTGGCAACAGTGCCTTATTTATTTCCCCCACCCTTGCTCAGGCTTAGCCAGTCCTTGCTCCAATGATGGGGGAGGGGTCACAGTGGGACTCTTGTGACATCACTACATCCCACCCCTCATTCTTTCCTGTGAAATCCTCCTGGAGCCATCTCTGTCCTATGCCCTGTCCCAGAGAGCCCCCCTGCTATAATGCTTCCTTCCTTCCTTCTAGCCACTGCCTCCCTCGCCCCATCCACCCCCCAACTATTCAGTGTCCCTCAGTAAACGTCCCAAGTTTGCAACAGAAAATGAAAATGTAACTCAGAAAAGGTGGCATTCACACTTCACACCTTCATACAGAAATCCAAGCAAAGCTCTTGAATCCAGAATCAGGATGCCTTCCAGAGCCAGCTGTTTCAAGACGCTGCTAGAGGCAGTGAAGAGCGCAGGAGGCCTGCCTAGCAGCTGCAGGGAGGGGCGGAGGATTGGGGTCGCCCTCTCAGGGAGGGCAGAGGAGGGTTAGAATGCATCTGACCCTGCATTCTAAAATACCTGCTAGCACTGGATGCTGCGGTGTCCATGGTACTGAAGACAAGACTCTGCTGCCTGGTCCACCACTGTTATGACTACAGTGGCCCCCAGTCTAATGTTGCCATCAAGATTGGTAGTCCAGGCCGGGTGTGGTGGCTCACACCTGTAATCTCAGCACTTTGGGGGGCCAAGGTGGGAGGACTGTTTGAGCTCAGGAGTTCCAGAACAGCCTTGGCAACATGGCAAAACCCCATCTCTACTTAAAAAAGAAAAAAAAATGAGCCAGGCATGGTGGCTCACGCCTGTAATCCCAGCACTTCGGGAGGCCAAGGCGGGTGGATCACCTGAGGTCAGGAGTTTGAGACGAGCCTGACCAACAAGGAGAAACCCTGTCTCTACTAAAAATACAAAATTAGCCGAGTGTGGTGGCTCATGACTGTAATTCCAGCTACTCGGGGGGCTGAGACAGGAGAATTGCTTGAACCTGGGAGGCGGAAGTTGCAGTGAGCCAAGATCATGCCATTGCACTCCAGCCTGGGCAACAAGAGCGAATCTCCATCTCAAAAAAAAAAGGCAATCTAGATGCACTGGATATGACCAGCAGAAACATGGAGAAACACAGTTCTTAGTGGGGTCAGGCCTTGTGAAGTAGCAGCCTGCGGTTTGGACGAGGCCAGCCTGGCTCTGTGGTCACCCACAGTCAACCCCACCACAGGGGCTGCAGGGACTGAGAGAAGGGTTGGAGTGTGTTATCCAGCTCTTCTGAGAAGCAGACACCAAGACAGGATTAAATTGCAAGGGTTTTAGTGGGAGATATACCTTTGTGAAAAGAGTTACAAAAGACTGGGAGAGCCACCGGACCATGAAGCAAGTCTCACTCCCAATGTGAGGGAGAGAGGGGAAGAGAAGGGGTGGGAGCACTCCGGACCACAGTTCTGAGGAAAATCCAGAGCCTTCACCAACTATTTGAAACAGTCAGGCAGCAAAGTAGGTCTGGGCAACCAGCCTGGCCTTAGCATCCCCACCACACTCGGTCATCAGAGAGCTGCCGCAGGAGGCCTGGCCTGATGCACTACAAGGTAGATACCTGTGAGGAGCCACACTCCCTCCAGGAGGTCAGCCACAGCATCCTGGACACTGAGGTTGGGGACCACGGATGGAAGTGTAGCTGAGAGAACCCAGAGGTTCCTGGGCCCAGGGGCCCAAGCCAGGACCAGCAAGAGAACACTCACAGAAAGAACTAGAAGACCTCCTTGCTGGTGGGGTTGTCTTAGAAGGGAGCAGGCAGGTGGGACCAGAACCTCCTGCAAGAAACTAGAACATCATCTGTGGGGCTCAGAGATTGGGTGGTGTCAGGAAAGAGGCTCTTCTCTATTTATTTTTAAAATCAAACTTATACATTCACAGGGAACAATCAAGTAGTCAAAAAACACCTAAGAGGCTTTATCTCAGAAAACTGCAACTCTGTCCCCCTTTCCTCATTGCCTGCCCACAAAACCATTTTCCTGTCTTTGAGCTGAGTCACAGACCTTCTTCTGTGCTGTCTCCTTCTCCCAGGGTGATGGTGACCCCCTCTGTTCCCTGAGCCCTTATAGCTATGCGGGATTGCTGCATTGGTCATTTGTTGCAGCAATTTGGTAATAATTTGACACTTAACTTTGTTTTCCACATATATAGCATCTTATAGAAGATTAAATGAGATTTTAACTCCTGGTGCCGATTTTCTCCAGAATTGATATTTATGTTAAACCCCTGATAAAATACATGTTGGAGTTCTTTGGCACTATCCCCACCACAGTGTTAGGGCCTCTATTCAAACCCCTGCAATGCCTAAGAGACCCCACATTTATCCAAGGGTCTGCCCTGTTCCCACATGAACTTCTAGCACCAATCTTTCCTCCAGTGCCTCCCAGCTGTACTTGTTGGGGACACATGAACACCAGGAATCTCCAAATCATGCTTATATTCTTCCCAACATAAACTTGGACCTCATTCCCCCCGATTCCACTTCACACTGCTGTCGAGCTCTTAAGGTTTGAAGCCCCTGCACTCAGAGCTGCAGATCCCCCCGTTTGACTCCAACCCCTCTCCTCCCGGAGTCTGGCCCTCTCCTCAGGGCTCGATTTCCCTTTGATTCTATTGATCACATCTGTACATTTAGCATGAATAAGATGAGAGGGGACTCGGCAGTATTGGGAGAGGCAGCAGGGGAGGTTTCTTTACCATCACCATGGAAGCCTCAGGCCATGTGCACTGGGTGTGGCTTTGGAAGTGGTGGAACCAGAGAGCCATTCTTAGGCCCTGGGTTCACCCCAGCTCACTGGGACTCTCAGATATTAGCAATCTCTGGAAGGCAGCCTTGTTGTTGAGACCCAGTTTCAAGGGCTTACCACATTCCCAGCTCTGTGTGATCTTGACACGTCCACCCTCTTTTTTTTTTTTTTTATCTTTTTTTAATCTCTAAAGTGTGGGACATGTCTTTATTCCATAAGGGAGAACAACAGGCAGGTGGGATGGAGTGAGAGATCGGCTGGAGGCGGAAGAAGGCAAGGAATATTGCTGAGATAGTTTTCAAATCAATGGAGGTGGATGTCCATGGATGAATCACAAAGGGAGGGAATGGGTGCAGAGGCCTTACTGAGATCCAACGACAGTAGCTAAAATATCAGATTTTTATTTTTATCTTTTTTTTTTTTTTTTTGAGATGGAGTCTTGCTCTTTCGCTCACGCTGGAGTGAAGTGGTGTGATCTTGGCTCACTGCAACCTCTGCCTCCCAGTTTCAAGCAATTTTCCTGCCTCAGCCTCCCGAGTAGCTGGAATTACAGGGGCCCACCACCACACCCGCTAATTTTTGTATTTTTAGTAGAGATGCGGTTTCACCACGTTGGCCAGGCTGGTCTTGAACTCCTGACCTCAGGCGATCCACCTGCCTCGGCCTCCCTAAGTGGTGGGATTACAGGCGTGAGCCATCATGCCCAGCCAATATCAAATTTTTGTTTGTTTGTTTTAAGACAGAGTCTCACTCTGTAGCCCAGGTTGGAGTGCAATGACGGGATGTCAGCTTACTGCAACCTCTGCCTCCCAGGTTCAAGTGATTCTCCTGCCTCAGCTTCCTGACTAGCTGGGATTATAGGTGCTTGCCACCACACCCAGCTAATATTTTGTATTTTTTTTAGTAGACACAGAGTTTCACCGTGCTGGCCAGGCTGGTCTCGAACTCCCGACCTTAGGTGATCCACCCACCTCGCCCTCCCAAAGTGCTGGGATTACAGGCATGAGACACCGCGCCTGGCCTCAAATTTTTAAAAGGACAAAACCAGTGAGAAACCTTTTGAAAATATGATTCTAGAAAATAAAGGATGGGAGGAGTAGTGCAAAAGCTCTGAGGAGAGGTGAGCCCTGGGAAGACAGTTGAAGACTCTGTGAGCAACCAGCACCTGAGCCAAAAAAGACAGTATTGATTCTCCAGACCTGAGACAAGGCAGGAGGAAATCTGGGCATAGAGATATAGTTCTCTAGGCCCTATGCTGCCTCTGATCCCTTTCTTCCCAAAATCCTACAAATAGGACTCTAGTATTGAGTATACCCAGGGCCACCAGGGGACTGTGAGGCCTAGGGAGCCAGGGTAGAGCTGGCTGCTTCAAAAGACGAGAAGTCGTGGGGATAAGGAAAGTGGAAGGACAACGCCTCAGTGTAAAGTCCAAAATCATGTACAAGCCCCGTTCCATGATGTTAATGTCCTTGGCCCTTTGATGATAATTACTTAGTGACTCAACATGACACTAAAGAAAGGAATGCAAACATCAGTAACCAAAACGAGGCCCACTACCCTAGAGGCAAATATGAGAAAATCAGAAAACAAGTCTTCAAGTGGAAGTGCCTCAGTGAATTTACACTTGTTCGAGCCCACAGAGCTAATACCAAAGCTTCACTTAGAAAACCTCTTATGTCGGAGCTGGTACCATTCCTTCTGAAACTATTCCAATCAATAGAAAAAGAGGGAATCCTCTCTAATTCATTTTATGAGGCAAACATCATCCTGATATCAAAGCCTGGCAGAGGCACAACAAAAAAAGAGAATTTTAGACCAATATCCCTCATGAACATCGACGCAAAAATCCTCAATAAAATACTGGCAAACCGAATCCAGCAGTACATCAAAAAGCTTATCCACCATGATCAAGTGGGCTTCATCCCTGGGATGTAAGGCTGGTTCAACATACACAAATCAATAAACGTAATCCATCATATAAACAGAACCAATGACAAAAACCACATGATTACCTCAGTAGATGGAGAAAAGGCCTTTGACAAAATTCAACAGCCCTTCATGCTAAAAACTCTCAATAAACTAGGTATTGATGGGACGTATCTCAAAATAATAAGAGCTATTTATGACAAACCCACAGCCAATATCATATGGAATGGGCAAAAACTGGAAGCATTCCCTTTGAAAACCGGCACAAGACAGAGATGCTCTTTGTCAGATGAGTAGATTGCAAAAATTTTCTCCCATTCTGTAGGTTGCCTGTTCACTCTGATGGTAGTTTCTTTTGCTGTGCAGAAGCTCTTTAGTTTAATTAGATCCCATTTGTCAATTTTGGCTTTTGTTGCCATTGCTTTTGGTGTTTTAGTCATGAAGTCCTTGCCCATGCCTATGGCCTGAATGGTATTGCCTAGGTTTTCTTCTAGGGTTTTTATGGTTTTAGGTCTAACATTTAAGTCTTTAATCCATCTTGAATTAATTTTTGTATGAGATGTAAGGAAGGGATCCAGTTTCAGCTTTCTACATATGGCTAGCCAGTTTTCCCAGCACCATTTATTAAATAGGGAATCCTTTCCCCATTTCTTGTTTTTGTCAGGTTTGTCAAAGATCAGATGGTTGTAGATATGCAGCATTATTTCTGAGGACTCTGTTCTGTTCCATTGGTCTATATCTCTGTTTTGGTACCAGTACCATGCTGTTTTGGTTACTGTAGCCTTGTAGTATAGTTTGAAGTCAGGTAGTGTGATGCCTCCAGCTTTGTTCTTTTGGCTTAGGACTGACTTGCCAATGCAGGCTCTTTTTTGGTTCCATATGAACCTTAAAGTAGTTTTTCCCAATTCTGTGAAGAAAGTCACTGGTAGCTTGATGGGGATGGCATTGAATCTATAAATTACCTTGGGCAGTATGGCCATTTTCACTTTACTGATTCTTCCTACCCATGAGCATGGAATGTTCTGCCATTTGTTTGTATCCTCTTTTATTTTGTTGAACAGTGGTTTGTAGTTCTCCTTGAAGAGGTCCTTCACGTCCCTTGTAAGTTGGATTCCTAGGTATTTTATTCTCTTTGAAGCAATTGTGAATGGGAGTTCACTCATGATTTGGCTCTCTGTTTGTCTGTTATTGGTGTATAAGAATGCTTGTGATTTTTGCACATTGATTTTATATCCAGAATCTACAATGAACTCCAACAAATTTACAAGAAAAAAACAACCCCATCAAAAAGTGGGCAAAGGATATGAACAGACACTGCTCAAAAGAAGACATTTATGCAGCCAAAAGACACATGAAAAAATGCTCATCATCACTGGCCATCAGAGAAATGCAAATCAAAACCACAATGAGATACCATCTCACACCAGATAGATGGCGATCATTAAAAAGTCAGGAAACAACAGGTGCTGGAGAGGATGTGGAGAAATAGGAACAATTTTACGCTGTTGGTGGGAGTGTAAACTAGTTCAACCATTGTGGAAGTCAGTGTGGTGATTCTTCAGGGATGTAGAACTAGAAATACCATTTGACCCAGCCATCCCATTACTGGGTATATACCCAAAGGATTATAAATCATGCTGCTGTAAAGACACATGCACACGTATGTTTATTGCGGCACTATTCACAATAGCAAAGACTTGGAACCAAGCCAAATGTCCAACAATGATAGACTGGATTAAGAAAATGTGGCATATATACACCGTGGAATACTATGCAGCCATAAAAAATGATGAGTTCATGTCCTTTGTAGGGACATGGATGAAGCTGGAAAGCATCATTCTCAGCAAACTATCGCAAGGACAGAAAACCAAACACTGCATGTTCTCACTCATAGGTAGGAATTGAACAATGAGAACACATGGACACAGGAAGGGGAACATCACACACTGGGGCCTGTCATGGAGTGGGGAGATTGGGGAGGGATAGCATTAGGAGATATACCTAATGTTATATGACAAGTTACTGGGTGCAGCACACCAACATGGCACATGTATACATATGTAACTAACCTGCACATTGTGCACTTGTACCCTAAAACTTAAAGTATAATAAAAAAATAAAATAAAATAAAATAAAAAATTAAAAAAAATAAAAGACAGGGATGTCCTCTCTCACCACTCTCCTATTCAACATAGTGTTGGAAGTTCTGGCCAGGGCAATCAGGCAAGAGAAAGGAATAAAGGGTATTCAATTAGGAAAAGAGGAAGTCAAATTGTCCCTGTTTGCAGATGACATGATTGTATATTTAGAAAACCCCATCGTCTCAGCCCAAAATCTCCTTAAGCTGATAAGCAACTTCAACAAAGTCTCAGGATACAAAATCAATGTGCAAAAATCTCAAGCATTCGTATACACCAATAACAGACAAACAGAGAGCCAAATCATGAGTGAACTCCCATTCACAATTGCTTCAAAGAGAATAAAATACCTAGGAATCCAACTTACAAGGGACGTGAAGGACTTCTTTAAGGAGAACTACAAACCACTGCTCAACGAAATAAAAGAGGACACAAACAAATGGAAGAAAATTCCATGCTCATGGGTAGGAAGAATCAATATTGTGAAAATGGCCATACTGCCCAAGGTAATTTATAGATTCAATGCCATCCCCATCAAGCTACCAATGACTTTCTTCACAAAATTGGAAAAAACTACTTTAAAGTTCATATGGAACCAAAAAAGAGCCCACATTGCCAAGACAATCCTAAGCCAAAAGAACAAAGCTGGAAGCATCGCGCTACCTGACTTCAAACTATACTGGAAGGCCACAGTAACCAAAACAGCGTGGTATTGGTACCAAAACAGAGATATAGATCAATGGAACAGAATAGAGCCCTCAGAAATAATACCACATATCTACAACCATCTGATCTTTGACAAACCTGACAAAAACAAGAAATGGGGAAAGGATTCCCTATTTAATAAATGGTGCTGGGAAAACTGGCTAGCCATATGTAGAAAGCTGAAACTGGATCCCTTCCTTACACCTTATACAAAAATTAATTCAAGATGGATTAAAGACTTAAATGTTAGACCTAAAACCATAAAAACCCTAGAAGAAAACCTAGGTAATACTATTCAGGCCATGGGCATGGGCAAGGACTTCATGACTGAAACACCAAAAGCAATGGCAACAAAAGCCAAAATTGACAAATGGGATCTAATTAAACTAAAGAGCTTCTGCACAGCAAAAGAAACTACCATCAGAGTGAACAGGCAACCTACAGAATGGGAGAAAATTTTTACAATCTACCCATCTGACAAAGGGCTAATATCCAGAATCTACAATGAACTCAAACAAATTAACAAGAAAAAATCAAACAATCCCATCAATAAGTGGGCAAAGGATATGAACAGACGCTTCTCAAAAGAAGACATTTATGCAGCCAACAGACACATGAAAAAATGCTCATCATCACTGGCCATCAGAGAAATGCAAATCAAAACCACAATGAGATACCATCTCACACCAGTTAGAATGGCGATCATTAAAAAGTCAGGAAACAACAGGTGCTGGTGAGGATGTGGAGAAATAGGAATGCTTTTACACTGTTGGTGGGACTGTAAACTAGTTCAACCATTATGGAAGACAGTGTGGCGATTCCTCAAGGATCTAGAACTAGAAATACCATTTGACCCAGCCATCCCATTACTGGGCATATACCCAAAGGATTATAAATCATGCTGCCATAAAGACACATGCACATGTATGTTTATTGCAGCACTATTCACAATAGCAAAGACTTGGAACCAACCCAGATGTCCATCAATGATAGACTGGATTAAGAAAATGTGGCACATATACACCATGGAATACTATGCAGCCATAAAAAGGATGAGTTCATGGCCTTTTTAGGGACATGGATGAAGCAAGAAACCATCATTCTGAGCAAACTATCGCAAAGACAGAAAACCAAACGCTGCATGTTGTCACTCATAGGTGGGAATTGAACAATGAGAACACTTGGACACAGGGTGGGGAACATCACACACTGGGGCCTGTCGTGGGGTAGGGGGATGGGGGAGATAACATTAGGAGATATACCTAATGTAAATGATGAGTTAACGGGTACAGCACACCAACATGGCACATGTATACATTTGTAACAAACCTGCACATTGTGCACATGTACCCTAGAACTTAAAGTATAATAAAAAAATAAATAAAAAAGAAAACCTCTTATGTCTTAAAGTTATAAGACAGGATAGAATTGGATTGGTATACACTATACCACATAAGCATCTGAGACCTGGGCCAGGTTTCACTGAAGCTTTAGGGGAGCCTTTTATGGTAGCATTTTTAAATTTTGGCACATTCCATAAATAGAAAATACCAAGTAGCTCAAAAATGGGTTTAACAGGCAGGCACAGTGGCTCATGCCTGTAATCCCAGCACTTTGGGAGGCCAAGGCAAGAAGATCACCTGAGGTCAGGAGTTTAAGACCAGCCTTACCAACATGGAGAAACCACATCTCTACTAAAAATACAAAAATTAACCAGGCATGGTGCCACATGCCTATAATTCCAGCTACTTGGGAGGCTGAAGCAGGAGAATTGCTTGAACCCAGGAAGCAGAGGTTTCAGTGAGCCAAGATCACGCCATTGCACTCCAGACTGGGTAACAAGAGTGAAACTCCATCTCAAATACATAAGTAAATAAATAAATAAATAAAAGGTGATTTTACAATCAGCTATAGGACTCCAACACATGCTCTTAAATGCAGGTTTCCAATAACTTTGGAGATTGTGACATTAGAATAGAAGAAAAAAACTTTCAGGACTCTCATGGAGAGCTAAATGTTCATGAATATGAAGCAGAACAGGAGTTAACTACATGAACTGAACTAATGGAAGACTAAAATAATCCTTTTATGACTTTTTGCTTAAAGAATTACTAACCCTTTGTTTTGTTTTTTGAAGCCAAGACAACTTTTCTGAGCTATTTACAGCTTTTAAAAATTGAGTAAAGAATACTCCTGTAAACAAAATTTGGAGTATATTTCTCTCTACTGGATTTCTCCAAAATGTGGAAACTATTTGTATTCTTAATTTATAGCAATATAGTTATCTGCATAAGTGCAATGTGAATCTGTTTTCTTTTTTAACAGGACACAATTGGAGACACTGGTTATTTTACCAAGGCTTTGACTGGAATGGTTTTCTTTGAGATACAAACAGACTCCTTTAAGGAATCAAAGTTGACTTATAGAGCCAATAAAAACCCCTTGAGAAAACTGGCCTCATACCTAGTCTATACAGTTCCTGTACAGGGTTCCTAACCTGTGATAAGTAAAGAATATCAGTTCCTAGCAGGCCCGGAAGGCCCAAGTTATATTAGGACCTCAGGAGGAGAGAAATTTACTCAACTCATACAGGTATGTGATGGCAAAAAACCATGGCTGGGCTCAAGGCTTTAAAGTCTTATCTGAGGTTCCTCATGGAATAATGTTTCATCAAAGCCAATATAAAAAGGAGCCTATATGGCAAACAGTTATTCTTGCTGTGCTTTATGCAAATAATCAGTATAAAAAGACTAAAGCTTATTTTGCAAACAAATCAGTCCTATCGTGGTCTGTTTTTAATAAAAATGAGGACTGGAGAGAGGAAAATTATGTTTTAAGAACTATGGGGCCGGGTGCGGTGGCTCACGTCTGTTATCCTAGCACTTTGGGAGGCTGAGGCAGGCAGATAACCTGAGGTTGGGAGTTGGAGACCAGCCTGACCAACACGGAGAAACCCCATCTCTACTAAAAATGCAAAAAATTAGCCAGGCATGGTGGCACGTGCCTGTAATCCCGGCTACTTGGGAGGCTGAGACAGGAGAATCACTTGAACCTGGGGGAGCAGAGTTTGCAGTGAGCTGAGATCACGCCATTGCACTCCAGCCTGGGCAACAAGAGTGAAACTCCATCTCAAAACAAAACAAAACAAAAAACTATGACTATGGTACACCTGTTATTAGATTCTAGTCTCATCAATTGTTTTTGAGGGTTTTTTTCTGCAATTTAGACT